>NC_000017.11:6551717-6703232 GCF_000001405.40 Homo sapiens
AAAAAAGTATTAAAAAAATTTTTTTTTTTTTAATCTGCGCTAGTCCCCTTTCCAAGCTTCCAGATGTTTCCTCCTCTGAGTGATCCAGCCACTAGTCACTGCCCCTGGGAGCCACAGAGTAAGGGGCCCAGGAGAAGTCTCGCTTTGGGAGGATGTGAGAGCACACGCCCCACTCCAGGAGGACCCCAAAGGAGGCTGACTCAGCAGAGCAAGGTCCAAACTCTGGAAACCCAGGCTCTGCCGTCACCTTCTTCTGTGACGTTGGCCAAATACCTACCTCTCACGGGCCCTCAGCGACCCATTGTTAACGAGGACTTGGAACATGAGTATCGAAATGTTCCCTCCCATCCTAACACCGTAGGATCAGTACTTTACTGACTCAAATTACTAGGTTTGCCACATGGAAGCCTGCCAGCTACACCCCTCAGAGCAGAGGCTAACACCTGAGAGGAGAATAAACTGGTTCCTCCAGCCTGGGAGGCCCAACCCTGTGGCCTCGGCTCTGTCTCTGCAGATATTCCTGCCCCAGCCTGAGAGGTGCCAAGACCCTCTAGGCTGTTCACTCTGCTCCTGCCTAACCTGGGGACCTGGCCCCCACCCCCTACCCTCATTCTCTCAGTGGGAGAGAGGGGCAGCCTGTTGGGGTGCAGAGGGAGGGGCACAGGGAGGTAGACAGGAAGGGAGGGGCAGTGTGGCTGGCAGGAGTCAGAATCAACCCTTCCCAACAAAGGCAGCTCCACCAGGCTGGCCTCTCTCCAGCTTCCCAGGAGCCCTGGCGTCCCAGCCAGAGGGATCTGTCGAAACACAGTGCCAAGTCTTACCCCGGCACTCCTGTCTTCATGCTCTTTGGAGTTCCTTTTAGCCCTCTGCATTCTTCCGCTCCAGCCAGGTTTCTTTACTTTTGGGCACTTCCTACCCACCTTCCACCCCTACCCATAGCAGTCCTCCCACACTTACACATGTGCCTCTTCCTTTCCATCCTCCTAGCCTTTGTTCAAGCCACTACCCCCACCTGGAAGCCGGCCCCTGGCCACCTTTCTTTTTCTTTTTTTTTTTTTTTTTTTTTTGAGACGGAGTCTCGCTCTGTAGCCCAGGCTGGAGTGCAACGGCACGATCTCGGCTCACTGCAAGCTCTGACTCCTGGGTTCATGCCATTCTCTCGCCTCAGCCTCTCAAGAAGCTGGGACTACAGGCGCCCACCATCACGCCTGGCTAATTTTGTTTTTGTATTTTTAGTAGAGACGGGGTTTCACCGTGTTAGCCAGGATGGTCTCGATCTCCTGACCTCGTGATCTGCCCGCCTCGGCGTCCCAAAGTGCTGGGATTACAGGCACGAACCACCGCACCGAGCCCCTGGCCACCTTTCTATACAAACTGTGCCAGCCTTTAGGGCCCATCTCCCAGAGAAACCCAGCCTTCACTGTCTGTCTCAAGCCACTCACTGGCCTCTCTGCTCCGTGGGGAGCTCTGTACTGTAAATTGTCCCTCCTACTCAGAGCTTCTGAATCCTCCCCACCCCTGCCCCCACCTCCCTGTTGCTGGTTAGACTGGGGCCACCATAAATGATGCCTTTCTGTGTAACTGAAATCTCCCCTAGAGATTGAGAACTGGTAATAACCCATCTGGATTCACCTTCTGAAGATCTATCTCATCCTCTCTGGGCCCCGATAACAATTTCTCTTGTACCTGGATTCTCCTGGCAGTGTAAGAGTCCTTTCACTGCCTCCTTTTAGCTCTTGTCCGACACAAGCCATGCCACAAATCTGGCACAGCCATGACCTGCTGCTCAGGCTGTGCACTGCACAACTCCAGGGGTATTATTCACTAGACCACACGTGATGACCTAAAGTCAGGTACCATGGCAGCCCTGGGGCCCAAAGCTCTGCCTTTTCTCTCCGTGGGTGATCTACTGGCCAGATTTTAAAGGGAACATCTCACAGGTCATGGTGCAGACCCCTCATTCACAGGCCGGGTGCCACAGCCTCCACTCCTGGCCTTCAGCAGCCCTTTGTTCCTGTGTCACCCCCCGCCGCCCCACCCCGCCAGAGTGAAGGCCTGATCATTCCTGCCCATCAGTCTGCCCATCCGAGGCAGGTGGTACTGAACAGCCACCCCGCTCTCTATGTTCTCCTTGGGCCTCAGTTTCCCCAGCTGTGAAGAAAGAGATGGGTTCCTGATCTCCAAGGGCTCCCTCTGTTCTGAAGCTCACCAATCTATTCTTCACAGATGTTGCCAATGAGGAATATGTGATTCTCATACACACATTACTGTGTGTTGTTTTTGATTCAGTAGGCTTATGAGCATCAAGAAGAGAAGGGAGACCAGGCGCAGTGCCTCACACCTGTAATCCCATCACTTTGGGAGGCTGAGGCAGGCAGATCATTTGAGGTCAGGAGTTCAAAACCAGCCTGGCCAACATGATGAAACCTTCGTCTCTACTAAAAATACAAAAATTAGCTGGATGTGGTGGTATGTATCTGTAGTCCCAGTTACTTGGGAGGCTGAGGCAGGAGAATCGCCTCAGCCCAGGAGGCGGAGGTTGCAGTGAGCCGAGATCAAGCCATGCCCTCCAGCCTGGGAGACAGACCGAGACTCCATCTCAAAAAAAAAAAAAAAAAAAAAGGAGAGAAGGGACATTTACAAAATGCAGAGGAGCCTGGGAGAGCTGAGCTGAGAAGGGAGAGGTAACCAGACTCCTTGGGATGACTGCTGAGTGTGGGGGGCAGGAGCCCAGGCACTGGATCTACAGACACGGGGAATCTGTGTTGCCTCGAGGGAAAGGGCCAAGCGTGAAATTGCAGCAGAAAAAAACCAAAATGTTAGAACAGCACAAGGCATTGATGCTCAGAGCAGGGCAGTTTTTCCACCTGTCACTGGAACAAATTCCCACAGACTCTCAGCCCAGGGACCAAAGGACCCACAGGCTAAGGCAGAGGGACTGAGACTGGCACCCCCATTTGGTAAGGGGGTGACCTATCAGGGCAGTGACAGAGAGAGTCCTTCGAGTCCAATAGACCTGGCTGTGAGTCCAGGCTCTGCCCAGACCCTCTAAGCCACCTTGAGGCTGCTATTTCTCTGAGTATCTGTTTCTAGATGTTTTAAAAGTGGGAGAGTCGCATTTCCTCCCTCCCAGGATCACGGTACAGTAAAGAGCTTAGCACTCTGCCTAATACATAGAACAAGCAGCAAATGTTCACTGCCGTTGCGATGACAGTGCCCTGGCAGGTGACCTGTGCTCAAGGCGTCCCAGTGCACACACACACTCACACACACACAGGGTAGGGCAGCAGATGGGACACACGCCCTGCCACAGGCCATTTTAAGGAGTCGGGGTGGGTGAGGACCCAGGCACGGTGGAGGAAAGAGGGAGGCAAGAAGCCTTTTTCAGCTTCCTTGGTGTCATCTCACAGTGCCTCCCTCAGGAGGGGAAAAGGGAGGGGAGTGAGAAGGCTGTTTAGCTGTGTTCCATACTGGCTGTGCCTCACACAACCGGCCCCACCCCGACAGGACTCCTTGGGGACAGAACGGGAGTGCATTCTCAGGCACCTAAATCTTACAGGCTCAGTGCCTGCACAGGGAGACGGGTCCGCAGCCCAGGGTCCCGGGCAGCTTTCGGGCTTGGGGGTGGATTGACACACAGCCCGATGGTATTCACACCCATTCCTTCACTGTCGCGCCCGGTCCTGGGGGACGGCATGGCACCAGCCAACGTCACGGGTTGGGTGTGAGTTCATGGTAGATTCTCACACGCCAGCCTCACAAGAGGCACTGCCGAGACCAGGCTTGCTGCCGCCTACTGTATGGCCGGCCCTGTGGGCACAGCTGTCCTCCACCCGCCTCCCAAGGCACCATCGGGCCCAGAATGTGCCCGATGAGTCACGGGCCTGGGTCTCCCCAGCATGGGCGCAGCAGGGGGGCTGAGTCCGCCTGAGCCCCGGTGCCCAGCTCAGGGTCTGGCACAGAGCAGATGCTAGTGAATGAACGTCGGGCTGGATGAATGAACGAATGACTAATGCCCGCTCCCTCAAACCACAGGCTACACCGTCTGAGCCTGGGGGAGGGCAGAGCCCACGGGACCCCAGAAGAGGCCTCCGCAGCTGAGGCTTTGCGTCCCAGGGTCGATGGGGGAGGGGGCGGGGCGGCCAGCAGCCGGCGCGGCACGGGGCTCCCCTCCTTCCCGAGAAGGAATCTGGGTCTCTGGACTGAGCTGGTGACGGGGGCTGGGGCGGGGGGTTGTGGCGTCCTGGATGGAGAGAGCTGCAGGAGCAGGGGGCGCGTCCCGGTTTGCGTTGGGGTGTGGGACGAAGCGGCGGCCGCGGGACATCCCCTTCGGTGGCGAAGCCCGGGTCTGCCCGGGGCCTCCGCGGGGTGCAGAGGGCTCCCAACGGCGGGACTGGCCCGGGGCGCCGCAGACCTGGCCCTTTCCGGCGGGGCCGTGGAGAAGGGGACGCGGTGTCCCCCGAGGTGACCGGGGGCGCAGGAAGGACGGGGGGCGCGCGGAGCCCCCTCTCCACGCGCGGGAGGTCCAGCCCCGCTACCGCCCCCTACGCCCTCCCGGGACCTCCGCCCACCTGCGCGAGGGGTTCACCTGGGCCGGCGGCCCCTCCTCTAGACGCGCGAGTCCCTCCCCCGGGCCCCGGCCCTGCCCTCCCCGCGCCCGCCCTCACCTGCACGGCCCGCCTTGGCCATGTCCCGGGCGGCGGGCTCCGGCGGCGCTACGCGCGCTCCTCGCGCTTCCCGGGCCCGGCCCCGACCGCCTCCGGCCCCGAACGGACTCCGAGCGCCGCGCCCGCGCCCCCGCCCCGCTCGCCTCGGCTGCCGCCACCGCAGCCGCCGCCGCCTCGCCGCTCCCTCCCGCTCCCTTAAAGGCGCCGAGCGGCGGCCGCGCCCCCCCCCCACCCCACCCCCCGCGCCGCCGGGGAGGGACTGACGAAGGAAGGCGCCCAACGCCGCCCCCGCGGGCCCGCACCCCCGCCCCGGGCCGTGGCCGCCGCGCTCCAGCCCGCTCCGCTCCGGCCCGCGCGGCCACCGCAGCGCGCGAGGGGCGGCAGCCCAGGGGCTCAGAGACGCGGAGACAGCCCGAGACACTGCGGGCCAGAGACGGGGCCCTGGACTGGGAGAGGGGCGCACAGACTATTAGACAGCGCTGGAGAGAGACGCTCCTAGGGCCAGAACGCCGAGGTGGAGGGAGAGAGAGAGAAATTCAGAGGAGACCAGAGACCCAGAGCCCGGCTCCGGCTCCGGGAGAGACGGACAGAGGGAGCGGAGAGAGGAAGGAGGACAGGGATCCAAGGGAGGCCCCCACGAAGTCAAGAGGAAAGTCGCTCTGGGATCAGAGACAAGAGAGGGACCCCCTCCATCAGCCCCCGCTCCAGGGGTTCTGGATCATTTATGGCGTCTGACCTAACCTCAAAAGAGAAAGGATTCCCGTGATTTTAACCCTCAAGGGATAAGTAAAACACTTGCACATCCACCTGGGGTTCTAGGCTGGAGCAGGCTTTGTGGACCCCAGCGGCCTGGTGGTGAGCAGTACCCGCCTTCCACTTCCTAAATCGGGATGCAGAGATTCTAGTGGACAGGCCTTGTGGTCCGGGGAGATATGGGTTATGACTTCTGTTTAGGGGCAGCAGGGATCCACAGTCCAGCCCCAAAAGAGAGCAGGAGATGGCCAATTGTATTTGGCGGTGCCTGAGAGGTAACAACCCTCCACTGAGAGGGTGCCCTGCCTCCCCCAGGAATTGGTAAGGCTGAAGCCCAGTTACCATCTGTAGAGCCAGGCACCCAACCCACCCTGTCCCACTCCACTTAACAGGGAAAAGGTCAACTGGAGAATTCCATCCATGGTCCAGGCTCCAGGGTCCTGCAAGCTCCTCTATGGAAACAGGGCACACATGGGGTTAGATGGGGGCTCTCAGTCCAGTGCCTTCTCTGGGGCTTTGACTCCATTCACAAGATTCCTGCTAAGCAGTCCTCCAGCTCCTGGTTGGTTACCTCCAAGGACAGGAAGCTCAGTATCTTAAGTGAGAGTTCTTCCTTTTATTAATTTTTTTTTTTTTTTTTTGGCTAGTGCTGGCCTTAAGAATGTTCTTACTCGTTTGAGCTGAAATCTACAACCCGCATGTCCCATCCATGAGTTCTGCTCTGCCTTCCGACACCTCACCCAACAAAACCAGGGCTTCCCAAGGCCTTCTACCCAAACTCCCTAGTATGGATTCACCCAGGGAGAACAACCATCCACGTTTGCCAGAGCTCACCTCCCAGGAAACCCATGAGTCCCAAGAGCTCTGGATCCCAGAGCCAGATGACAGCACCAACTCCAACAGATGTAGAATTTCAGAAGCTCTGGGCTCCTGAATCCAACGCTGTTCACCAGCACCTGCCATTGGTCACCAGCTGGGAGAGCAGGAATGGACCCTGCAGCCTTTCCCCACTATGAGAATGGGACTGGGGATGAGAATAACAAGGACTATTGATTGAACAGGCGGTATTTACCCTCATGTACTCTCTCAGCTACATTGCGTTATCCTCAGCATACACATAACGAAGTGGGGGCTAAGAAAGTTCGGTGCTTGTGGTCATGGAGGATCAATTTCAGGCCCCTGTGCTTTGTCTACTGGGCCTCACTGGCCTCACCCTTCCCTGAGGTGTTTCAGAGGCCTGATAGCCTGGACAATGTCCAGGCTTGGCCACCTGGTCTGTAGGTGTGAGTGGTCACGCAGGAGACAGAACGCTGGCTGCAGAAGAAGCAATGCGCCTGCCACAGAGGGGACACGCCTGGGCCTGAGCTCCTCCCCAGCCCTGGCTCACAGTAGCAGCAGTGACCAGAGGGCATCAAGGGCCCTCCTGCTTCTGGGCACAGCTTCACGTTGTGTTTGTGTGTGTGCCTGGGTATGTGTGCATGGGGTGTATGTGTGTGTGCTTGTGTGTGCTTAGGGATGCATGCATGGGTGTGTGTAGGCACACTCGTACACACAAACACAGGCAAACACCTGCTGACAGATGCTCCCTGGGTGGGCACCCAGACCCCTTCCCCTCCCACCACTTAGTCCTCACAAACCCTAAACTAGTCACCCAGAAGGGCCTGGGTGGAGCGGTTAAGGGGAGGTGCCAAGTTGATGGGAGTTTCAGAACTCATCTCTCCAGACCACTCCACACCCCATTTCTCAGATGGGAAGACAGTAAGCCAGATCTGTCCCCTGAAAACCACGACTCAGAGGCCCAGATCCATGGTTCCCCTCTTTAAACCTTCACCCCAGCCTCTGTCCGCCCCTAAGGCAGCCCCTGAAGGCACTGACTGTTACCAGCTGCCAAGGAAGTTCCAGCCCAGCCTTCTGACAGAGCAAACACATCAAAACTCAAGGCCATTAGATTAACTGGTGGGAGTTAACTTCCTGCGTCAGAAGAATTGTCCTTAATTGAAGAAAGGGATAACTAGCAATTTAGCCACGCTGACCTCTGCTGCCCGGAGGAAAGAGAGGCAGGAGCCAGCCAGGGCCTACGGGGCCTCCCAGTTACCAGAGTTACTGTGCCAGTAACTCTCCCAGTTACCAGAGTTACTGTGCCAGGAGACCAGATCAAATCCCTTCTCTGAGACCTGGCACCCAGGCCCTTTCCTCTGACCACAGCTTGTTCTGCTCCTGCCTTCACAGTGGCCAGCTGCTCCCAGGCCCAGGCAAGCATCTAGCCCAGAGAACCAGTAAAAATGAGCAGGGGCCCATCCTGTCAATGGCTGTGGAGGACGTGTGCAGAGATGTGGACAGGTTGGAGAGCTCCAGGTGGGTAAGGAGTGGGAGCTGGCTGCAAGACAACTCCTCGACATGGCAGACCCCAGGCCTGGCTATCCAGCCTGGACAGCTGGTGTGAGCACTTGGAAAGCTAAGTGACAGTTCCTAGGAGCCAACATGGCCCCCCTGAAAGCTAGTCATGCCAGGCAAAGCTCATTTCCTATTTGGACACGGTTATAACGACTAGTGGAGTTGGGCATCGCCTTGCCTTCTGGGCCTGGGTTGGGGCACGGCTGCTGCCCAGCTCTCTGACAGTAACTTTGTAAACAACAAAGGGAGTCAGGAGCAAGAAGATAGCCTGGTCAAGTGGCTTACCCCGGTCCACTCCCTGATGGGCTCCAGTGGAGGGAGCCTCCACCTCCCTCCAGGACTTGAGCCATGTCAAGCATCTCAGCGCAAGTGCTCACAACAGAGAATAAGCTGTGTAAGAAGGACGCTGCTCATGCAGACTGGACAGATGCACGGCTGTTCACCATGGCCTTGACAAGCTGGGACCACGGGCCAAACCCAATCACCATGGCCTTGACAAACTGGAACCATGGGCCAAAGCCAAGAGGATGACATGAACATGGACAAGCAAGTGGGGCCATCCTCCCAGGCCAAACACAAACATCCAGCTAGGAGTGTTCACTCCCACTTGTAAATTTCCACAGCCCCTTTTGTCCTTGAGTCTCACTCCCTGGCCAATATCACATCACTATGTCTCACCTGGACCACTGGAAGCACCCCTTCCTGATGTATTTCCCAGCCTATGTACCCTTCTTCACCCCCTCCTTTCTGGTTCCTATGCTTTAAAGTGTCATGGTTGCTGTCCACTGCCATGGGAACCACCCCTAATCATAAAAGTAGTCCCAGACACAGTTGCTCTTCCTTGGAGTCTTACAGAATTGTTCTGAGAGTAGCTGGTTTCTTGTCACCGTCTCCTCCTTGCCCCAGGATGCCCCCAATTCCACCCAGCATCCAGAACACTGAGTGGAACATGCCCTTCCATCCAGAACTACTCTTCTCCTCGTCCTCCTCCTCCTCTTCCTTCTCCTCCTCTTCCTCCTCCTCTTCCTCCTCCTCCTCTTCCTCCTCCTCATTCTCTTCCTTCTCCTTCTCCTCTTCCTCCTCCTTCTCCTCTTCCTCGTAGTCCTCCTCCTCCTCCTCCTCCCCTCCTCCTCTTCCTCCTCCTCTCATTATCCTCCTTCTCATTCTCTCTCTTCTCCTCCTCTTCCTCCTCCTCCTTCTCCTCCTCCTTCTCATTGTCCTCCTTCTCCTCCTCTTCCTCCTCCTTTCTCATTCTCCTCCTTCTCCTCCTCTTCCTCCTCCTTGTCTTCTTCCTCTTCTTCTTCCTCCTCCTCCCCTCCTTTTCCTCCTCCTCTTTCTTCTCCTCTTCCTCCTCCTCCGCCCCTCCTCTTCCTCCTTCTCATCCTCCTTCTCTCCTCTTCCTCCTTTTCCTCCTCCTCCCCTCTTCCTCCTCTTCCTCCTCCCCTCTTCTTCCTCCTTCTCTTCATTCTCCCCTCCTCCTCCTCTTCCTCCTCCTTCTCCCTTCCTCTTCCTCCTTCTCCTCTTCATTCTCCCCTCCTCCTCCTCTTCCTCCTCCTTCTCCCTTCCTCTTCCTCCTTCTCCTTCTCCCCCCTCCTTCCCTCCTCTTCCTCCTTCTCCTCCTCCTCCCCCCTTCCTCCTCTTCCTCCTCCCCTCCCCCTCCTCTTCCTCCTCCCCTCCCCCTCCTCTTCCTCCTCCTCTCCCTTCCTCTTCCCCTTCCTCCTTCTCCTCTTCCTTCTCCCCTCCTCCTCCTCTTCCTCCTCCTTCTCCCTTCTTCTGCCTCTTCCTCCTTCTCTTCTTTCTCCCCTCCTCCTCCTCTTCCTTCTCCTCCTCCTCCCCCTCTTCCTCCTCCTCCTCTTCCTCCTCCTTCTCTTTGTTCTCCCCTCCTCCTCTTCCTCCTCCTTCTCCCTTCCTCTTCCTCCTTCTCCTCTTCTTTCTCCCCTCCTCCTCTTCCTCCTCCTCCTCCTCCTCTTCCTCCTTCTCCCCTCCTCCTCCCCTCCTCCTCTTCCTCATCCTCCTCCCCTCTTCCTCCTTCTCCTCATCCTCCTTCCCTCCTCTTCCTCCTTCTCCCTCCCTCCTTCCCTCCTCTTCCTCCTTCCCTCTTCCTCCTCTTCCTCTTCCTCCTCCCCTCCCCCTCCTCTTCCTCCTCTCCCTTCCTCTTCCCCTTCCTCCTCCTCCTCTTCCTCCTCCTCCCTTCTGCCTCTTCCTCCTTCTCCTCTTCTTTCTCCCCTCCTCCTCTTCCTCCTTCTCCTACCCTCCTCCTCCTCTTCCTCTTCCTCCTCCCCTTCTCTTCCCCTTCCTCCTCCTCTTCCCATCCTCTTCCTCTTCCTCCACCTTTTCCTTTTCCCTGCTGGTGGCTGTGGCTTATCTAGTGTGTGCTCTTTTTTTTTTTTTTTTTTTTGAGATGGAGTCCCACTCTGTCACCCAGGCTGGAGTGCAGGGGCACAATCGCAGCTCACTGCAACCTCCACATCTGGGGTTCAAGCGATTCTTCTGCCCCAGCCTCTTGAGTAGCTGGGACTAGACACCCAGCTAATGTTTGTATTTTTAGTAGAGACAGGGTTTCACCATGTTGGGCCAGGTTGGTCTTGAACTCCTGACCTCAAGTGATCTGCCTGCCTCGGCCTCCCAAAATGCTGGGATTACAGGTGTGAGCCACCGTGCCCAGCCAATCTAGTGTGTGCTTCTACCTTCGACCCCAAGAAGGGCTAGGACCTGCCTGTCTTAATCCCCTCTGGTGAGTCCATTCTCAGCAGTTACGTTGACAGCTGTGGCTTCACCCTCAAGGCAGATGCTGTAAAGAAGGCACTGGCCACCACCGTCTTATGTGTGATTTCCTGCAGGGGCAGGAAGATTCCCTTAAGGTTAACACGTGACCTTTTAGGTGAGCCCCAGACCCCCATGTGTAAGGACCCCCCTACCCAAGACAGACCCCCCACGGAGCAGACCAAGCAAAATGTTCTGTCTTTACATGAGACTGCATTCCCCCTTTATTCTCACCACAGTGGGCGGCAAAATCTAGAAAACATACATGTGCGTGTTTCCGCTGTGTTTTCAAAACATGTCTGGAGACATCTGCAGAATCTGTTGAACTGGACCTCATCAGATTATTTATTTATTTATTTTTTATTTTTTAATTTGAGACAGAGTCTCGCTCTGTCACCCAGGCTGGAGTACAGTGGCCCCATCTCAGCTCACTGCAACCTCCGCCTCTCAGGTTCAAGCAATTCTCCGGCCTCAGCCTCCTGAGTAGCTGAGATTACAGGCACAAGCCACCATACCCAGCTAATTTTTGTATTTTTAGTAGAGATGGGGTTTCACCATGTTGGCCAGGCTGGTCTCGAACTCCTGACCTCAAGTGATCTACCCGCCTCAGCCTCCCAAAGTGTTGGGATTACAGGCGTGAGCCACCACGCCTGGCCCAGCTTTTTATTTGAGATGCTGAAATAAGTTGAGGCCCAAGCCTGGATTGCGTTTTCTCAGTTGCTGTTTAGCTTGCTTTAGCCTTATTGAATGGGGTGTGCTGGTAGATGGGATTTTGGAGAGGGGATCTGGAGAGGCTGAGGGGTGGTTGGGTAGAGGCAAGGAGAAATCTAGCAGCTGCCGTAAGGAGAGGAATTATGAGGAAAGAGCTTAATCAGGCTGCCCAATAGGTTCTGCTGTGGAGCCCTCCTATCTGCCCCCGAAAATGTCAGCAACAATTTATCTCGCTCACAAAGCTTTGGCAGTTGGACCTGCGTTTTGCGCTTGTTTGCTGTCAAGACTTGAGATTGGCCCCAAGCAAGCCCAGTTGTCTTGAAGTTACACTTAGACCAAATTAAAATTAGAAACTGGGTGAAAATCTAAAACTCTCTGCAGGATGGGCTCTTTGTGTCTGCATTCCTGCAAATTCCCATCAGCACTGGGTGCCGAGGAACAAGCAAATCCAGAGGCTCTGACCTCAGCCGTGTCCCTCCCCTGCCCCAGCCTCACACACAATATTGTTTGTTCCTGACAGATCCCAAAACTCAGAAAATCAAATACAGTGGTAGATGATAAGGCAGACAGATCAAGGGGGGAAAGCTGCCTGATTACTAACAAAACAGTGTTGGACAAGGGCAGAAAATCACAATCAGATCATGTAAAATGATGATTTTAATAGAAGGTGGCCGGGCACTGTGGCTCACGCCTGTAATCCCAGAACTTTGGGAGGCCGAGGTGGGCGGATCACGAGGTCAGGAGCTCGAGACCAGCCTGGCCAACATGGTGAAACCCCGCCTCTACTAAAAATACAAAAATTAGCTGGGTGTGGTGGCGGGTGCCTGTAGTCCCAGCTACTTGGGAGGCTGAGGCAGGAGAATCGCTTGAACCTGGGAGGCGGAGGTTGCAGTGAGCCAAGATCGTGCCACTGCACTCCAGCCTGGGCGACAGAGCGAGACTCTGTCTCAAAAAAAAAAAAAAAAAATAGATGGTGACTTTCTCTGCATCTGGTTTACTATCTCCACGTCTTATGGTGCTTGCACCTTTGCCTTGGCTACAGGTTTCCTTTCAGGCTCTGCTACTCTCCGAGGTCCTCACTCTGGAGCCCATTGTTTTGGTTCCAGCTGTGGCTGTGCTATCCAGGTCCCAGAGAAACCAACATGGCAGTGTCAGAAGATCCCGTGGGATCACCTGGATCCAAACCATCTTGACTTTGTTTTAACCTAAGGTGCACATGGTAGGCTATCATAGGACTGGTGGTACAGTGCTACCCCACATGGCATCTCCCCCCAGTCTGGGCACAGTCTATCATTAGTCCCCAAACCCCATTCTATTCCTCTCCTCCAGGGGTCTACTTTGAATTTGCACATTTCCCAAACTACTTTCATTTTTTTTCTTTTCTTTCTTTTCTTTTTTTTTTTTTGAGATGGAGTCTCATTCTGGAGTACAGTAGCGAGATCTCGGCTCACTGTAACCTCCGCCTCCCAGGTTCAAGTGATTCTCCTGCTTCAGCCTCCCGAGTACCTGGGATTATAGGCGCTGGCCACCACGCCCAGCTAATTTTTCTATTTTTAGTAGAGATGTGTTTCACCATGTTGACCAGGCCGGTCTCGAACTCCTGACCTCAGGTGATCTGCCCGCCTTGGCCTCCCACAGTTTTGGGATTACAGGCGTGAGCCACCACACCTGGCCTCCCAATCTGCTTTCTAAAGCTTTTCCCCATCTGTATGTATGCATGAGTGTTACATACTCGTATGTATGTATTTCAAACATTACGGAATGTCACCATGGGGACAGCATATTCTGCTTCTTACTTTCCCCTTTAGTATTGTTTTTTGAGATGAATCCACATTAGTATTTGTAGATTTGGCTTGTTCCTTTTGACTGCTGCATACTATTTGGTTGTGTGATATACCTCATTTTATTTTTCTAATCTCCTCTAAAGGACCAATTAGGTCTCATAGTTCCTCGCTGTTACAAACGGTGCTGCAGCAAACAGCCCGTGCACTTCTTGTGTTCCCATGTGAGAACCTCTCTGGGGCTCTCACACAGCGTTGGAATTGTCGGGCCATAGGGAATTCCACATTCCGCCTCCCTAAATAACTCATCGCCAAACTGCCCTCTCGAGAGGCTGTTCTGCTGGTCCCTTCATTTGAAGGATGGTAAACCCCAAGCCCAGAGCAGGAAAAGTGAGCACTAGTTTTAGAAACCAAGAGTCTTGAGGCCGAGCATGGTGGCTCGTGCCTGTAATCCCAGCACTCTGGGAGGCTGAGGCAGCGGGCGAATCACCTGAGGTCAGGAGTTCAAGACCAGCCTAGCCAACATGGTGAAACTCCACCTCTACTAACAATAAAAAAAAAAATTAAAAAAATTAGCAGGGCATGGATGGTAGGCACCTGTAATCCAAGCTACTGAGGAGGTTGAGGCAGGAGAATTGCTTGAACCCAGGAGGCAGAGGTTGCAGTGAACCAAGACTGCACCATTGCACTCCAGCCTGGGCGACAAGAGTAAAACTCCTCCAAAAAAAAAAAAAAAAAAAAAAAAAAAGCAAGTGTCTTGCAATCTACCTAGGGCTCCCCTGGCCAGAACACTCCAGGGCCCACTGCCTCTCCTCAGAGTCTCCTGCAGAGCCAGCAGGGTGGCTGCAGTCTCACTGAGCAGGAACCTCTGCCCTGGGATAGAAATTTCATCTCTCGGCCGGGTGCAGTAGCTCACGCCTGTAATCCCAGCACTTTGGGAGGCTGAGATGGGCAAAACACCTAAGGTCAGGAGTTCAAGACCAGCCTGCCCAACATGGTGACTAAAAATACAAAAATTAGCTGGGCATGGTGGTGGGCGCCTGTAATCCCAGCTACTCAGGAGGCTGAGGCAGGAGAATCACTTGAACCCGGGAGGGAGAGGTTGCAGTGAGCTGAGATCACGCCACTGCACTCCAGCCTAGGCAACAGAGCGAGACTCTGTCTCAAAAAAAATTAAAAAAAAAAAAAAGAAATTTCATCTCTCTCCTCCAGTTTAAGTGCAGTGGTGCCCACCACAACCCTCCCAGAAGGCAGGGGAGAAGAGTGGGTTGTGTGAGCTGTCGGCATGGAAAGGCATCCTGTGCAACAACAGAAATAAGTGTTGGTGCCCCCCAACCTCCACCCCACTATCACACATTCATATGATGAAAACTCCTACTACAGCCCACCCTGCAGAGACGGAATCTGTGCCATTGACCCAGACCTGAAAGTGTACCGTTGCTGACTCCTAAGAGAGGACCCCACACTGCTGGGAGCACAGGCAGCTGCTGAATAAAAGCTAAGACAGTTGTTGTGGGGAGCAAGCCTCTAAGAAAAGGTCATTTTGGGCGAGGCATGGTGGCTCACGCCTGTAATCCCAGCACTTTGGTAGGTCAAGCAGGCAGATCACGAGGTCAGGAGATCGAGACCATCATGGCCAACATGGTGAAACCCCGTCTCTACTAAAAATACAAAAATTAGCCGGGCGTGGTGGCGAGCGCTTGTAATCCCAGCTACTTGGGAGGCTGAGGCAGGAGAATCGCTTGAACCCCGGAGGCGGAGGTTGCAGTGAGCCAAGATGGCGCCATTGCACTCCAGCCTGGGTGACAGATCAAGGCTATGTCTCAAAAAAAAAAAAAAAAAAAAAAAAAAGAGTCATTCTGTTCTTCCCTCCTTCTCCCCGATTCCGGACTTTGTGAAAACCTTCAGATCTCTGATGGCTTAAAGCTTGTAGGGGAGAAACCCCTTCACTTATTAGGAGGCCATTCCAGTTCTTTAACTCTACCAGCTGGGAAGCTCTTCCTGTTGCCTCTACTTCTCTCCTGCTGTACAGCAGCAGCACGCTAAGAAAAATAACAACCGGCCGGGCGTGGTGGCTCACACCTGTAATCCCAGCACTTTGGGAGAGCGAGGCAGGCGGATCATGAGGTCAGGAGATCGAGATCATCCTGGCTAACATGGTGAAACCCCGTCTCTATTAAAAATACAAAAAAATTAGCCGGGCGCGGTGGCAGGCGCCTGTAGTCCCAGCTACTCCAGAGGCTGAGGCAGGAGAATGGTGTGAACCCGGGAGGCGGAGCTCGCAGTGAGCCAAGATCACGCCACTGCACTCCAGCCTGGTCGACAGAGCGAGACTCCGTCTCAAAAAAAAAAAAAAAGAAAAGAAAAGAAAAGAAAAATAACAACCAGAAGAACAACAGGAATAGATATTTGCTGAGTGACTATTATGTGCCTGGAAGTGTTTTAAGTGCTTTTCACGTGTTTCCTCTTTGAATCCTTATAGCAACATTAGGAGGGAGGGATTCTTAGAACCATTCCCATTTTACAGATAAGGAAACAGGCTTAGAAAGGCCTCACAGCTAATAAGTGGAAGAGCAAGTATTTAGGTCACACAGCTAATAAGTGGTAGAGCAGGTATTCAAACCCAGTCCCTCTAATGTCCACACTCCTGCCTTCGCCACAAGAGAAGAAGAAGACAGGAAAAAATAAGACAAAAACCAGACACAGAAAACCAAGAGGCTGAGGTTCTGCCACTAAGTGCTGGTGCAACCTCACGCAATTCACCAAAGCAAGCCCCTCCTTGTCTATACAGTGAGCCTGCTAGACTCACCGGTGTCCCTGAGCCTTTGGGGCTTGGCTGCGATCCTATGGTTTTCCTAATCCCTGTGCGAGGTGCCCTGACAAGTAGAGGGGGTGAGGGAGGAGCTGAGTTGGCAGGATTCTCCAGGGCCCAGAGGCAGCTGCCTTTGCCTGGGCAGGGCCTCCCGAGGCTATCAATGCCTCCCTCCTCTGTGGCTGCCAACCTAGTATCCCAGGCAGATCTCCCGGGGCTGCTGGGGCTATCTATTCATATTGCAATTTGAATGCTTCTGGTCAGAATGACTAAAAGGCTGAATTTTACAAGGGTTTTGAAAGTGAATTGACTCCACTTATTAAAGATATACTAGATTACACGCCGAGTGAAAGGACACTCTGGGGACTCCAGGCATCGCAGCCTTTCACAAAGACGGAAACATCCCTTTTCGAGCCATTCCTGGTAAACCACAGTGGGAGACGTTGCACCAAGCAGATGCCGATTAAATTACCGGCTGAAGGACACAGTCCATCAGAGAAACATCTTGGCCCAGAAGGGCCACTGGTGAATGAAGACGCAGTTCCAGAAATCCCTTCTGGTTGTTTTATGTAAATCAGTTTCTAAAGGCAGGAAGGCAAAGGCAAAAAGGTAAGTATTCCTGGGAAGCCCTGACCTTCAGTCATGCAGCTTATAAGGGGGAGAGAGGGAGAGAGGTGTGACGGGTAGGGAAAGTGATGGACAGGGAGGGGCACACAACTGCTCTTTGTTTTCAGGTTCAGAGCACCTGGGGAGGGAGTCTCAGCTGGTGGGGGCTTCCTCTGTGCAGATGAGGAAGCAGAATAGCTGGAAGGACTTCCTGGACTTGGAACCTGGCGGCGGAGGAAGGCCCTCCCGAATCCACGGGATCCAACCCCGGCACCTCACTGTACTGATGGGGAAGCTCAGCACTGGGTAATGGGGGTGGGGGGCAGTCAAAAACAGGGCATTTGGTGGCACAACTGGGACTGAAAGACAGTCCAGGCTCTTAACTCAAGGCTCTCTCCTCCCACTCTCCCATGGAGATGTAGGCGGCTGTCCCTGGCTTGTGTCGGTAAGTCTTTCCTCTCTCTCTGTGTCGCCCTGAGAAGCATTCCCTTCCACGCATCGCTGTCAAGAGAAGCAGCAGCATGTAGCAGGTACACAGATCGCAGTTGCTTGCAGATGTCATAGAAGGTCCAGGCAATGTGTATGCAACACCGGTTGCTTCCCTTTCTAAGTAACAGACACAGATTCAGTCTCTCTGAAGCAGAAAGGGAGTTTATTGGCAGGCTATCGGGATCTCAGAGAATCAGAGGAGCCTGCAGGGATAGGCTTGAAAAGCAGATGGGGCTGGACACAGTGGCTCATGCCTGTAATCCCAGAACTTTGGGAGCCCGAGCTGAGCAGATCACTTAAGGTCAGGAGTTCGAGACCAGCCTGGCCAACATGGTGAAACCCCATCTTTACTAAAAAATAAAATAAAATAAAATACAAAAATTAGCTGGGTGTGATGGTGCATGCCTTTAGCCCCAGCTACTCGGGAGACTGAGGCCAGACAATCGCTTGAACCTGGGCGGCAGAGGTTGCAGTGAGCAGAGATCACGCCACTGCACTCCAGCCTGGACAACAGAGCAAGACTCTGTCTCAAAAACGAAAAAAAAGAAAAGCAGATGGGAACTGAGGCTGCTGGAGAAGGCCAAGAACTTTCTAGAAAGCACAGCAGTCACCTTTTAGCAGAAGGACTTTAGTCTGATGGCCACTCTCTTCGCTGTACACACCAGCCCCTGAATGAGTGGGTTATAAAGAAACATCAGTTTTGAATCACTCATTCCAGCCAAGCATGATTAGCCAAGCCTGGGACATGCATGCCCCAGCTTCCAGGTGTGGGAGACAAAGATTGAAGGGTCCTATCTTGGGAGGCAGGACCCTGTATCCACATAACCATATTCCAAGGGCATAGAGAGTGCAATAGACTTCTGAGGGTTGGACAATTCTCATGAGGGATTGCATCATGAATTCCAAATGACTTCAACAGCAGGGGCTGTGTCATCACACCTACCCAGCAATCCCCCCAGAGCTCACCCCGAGACCCCAGCCAAAGTTAAGGGTTCCAGAAACCTTCAGAAGGGTGCAGCTGCCTTTGTTTAGGGGTGTGTGAGCGAGGGACTTTTCGGCCACCTGTGATGGGCACTCCTCCCGGCATGAGGACGTGAGAGCATCCTCTGCAGGAAACTGCACAGAAGGGGCTGGGGGGTCTCCCAGATTGATCCCTCCCCGCCTCCCAGGGAGGAAGAGGCTGCTGGTCCTCCCGTAGTGCTTTCCTGTTGGGGCTGCTGCAGGCTGTGTGCTTTCCAATGTTTCGACATTGCAATATTTCATACTTGGGAAGTAAGAACAACCATGATTTTCAGAGTTCTATTTCTTGACATTCTATTTCAAGCTGTAGAAAGTAATACTTAACAAAAGCCTTCTGAGCCTAAGATGCAGTGAGGCTCCACTTGGGGAAGTGGATTTCTGCTCCCCTCCGTACACAGAGGGGAAGAGTTATTGGACATTCCTGGGGTGGGGGGATGAGGTTTTCTGTTTTGGTTTGTTTGGGGTTTTTTTCATGCATCAAAAGAGAGCACCAGACTGGGAATCAGAGGACCGTAGGCCTAGTCCCAGTTTTGCTTCTGATTTCCTGTGAGACCTGTTTCCACTCTGGGTTTTTGCTCTCATTCACAGAAAAAGGGGTAGTAAAGCCTCTGCCTGCCTCGGAGATCGGAAAGTGTATTGTGACAAGGACACTGCTAGGTACATGAACTGTTCTAGATAGTTGTTTTTGTTTTTGTTGTTGTTGTTTGTTTGTTTTTTTTTGAGATGGAGTCTCGCTCTGTCGCCCCGGCTGGAGCACAGTGGCGCGATCTCGGCTCACTTCAACCTCCGCCTCCTGGGTTCAAGTCATTCTCCTGCCTCAGCCTCCCGAGTAGCTGGGACTACAGGCACGCGCCACCATGCCTGGCAAATTTTTGTATTTTTAGTAGAGACGGGGTTTCACCATGTTGGCCAGGCTGGTCTCGAGCTCCTGACCTCGTGATCCACCCGCCTCGGCCTCCCAAAGTGCTGGGATTACAGGCGTGAGCCACCTCGCCCGGCCCCTATGTGTGTGTCTTTATTGAAGAAAGGGTCCACAGCATTGTCCAGGTTTATAAAGGGGTCCTGACCCTTCAAAATAGCAAGAACTCCAGTTTTAGTCAATTCCTTTGTTCCGATGGGAAACAGGCCCCCTAAGTCAGTGTGAGGAGCCTGGGGCTTTCATGCCTAAAGCTGTGAACAATTATCTGAGTTAATTAAAAGCTTTGGCGGCCAAGCCAGCAGCCCCCGCCCTCATGCCCAGGCGGCCTCTGTCACACATGCTGCAGGTCACAAGTGATGCATGCCAGTCCGAGGCCCCAGCCCGGAATGGGGAGCCCACTACGTGCCCCTCCAGAGGCTACACCACGATCAACATGGAGAGAAAGAGCCCAGGCCCCCAGGCCCTGCCCAGATTGTCCTCGCAAAGACCCAGCCACCCTGTTGGCCCCGCGTCTGTTTCAAATCCCATGCCTGGGATTTCTTTTTGACATTAAAGTAAATGTTGGCCAGAGAGCCACCTACAAGGGTGACGAAGGCTGCCGGCTTCTCATTGGAGGGCTGGGAGGAGACTCTGCAGGTCTCTGAGGACTGCCAAGACTCCTTCATCACACTGAGCAGATATAAAATCCATTACCAAGGGCTAATAAATGCGGGGAGGCCGGCAGAGGACATGCCCGCCTTGCTGGGAGGGCACACACTCAGGCCAAGAACAGCAGGCTCTCCAGGCACAGCCACTCGCCCTCCGATATTTGCCCCTCCTGCACGCACCTCTCTCGGAGTCCCATTGTTCTCCATTCAATCATTTGGGCACCAATTCTGTTTCTCTTTGACTATAAAAGCCCATGCCTGCAGACCTCTCTACACATTTATTGTGCGGCTGGAATTTATGACGGATTGGATTTCAGAGGAGGGATTGATTAAATACAGATGGAGCACTTGACAAGGGCCTGGGGGTCCCGGTAGACTCCCCCATTTAGAAACAGAATAAAGATTAGAAAGCGTGAGCAAGGGCAATCCGAGGTAAGTCTTGCTTTCAAAGGGAGGGAGGGAGGACAGGATGGGGGAAGCTGTCTATTCCTACTCAACAGCATCTTCTTGAAGCTGGATGAAATTCTTTGCCCGGTGGAGTAATGAGCTGTTGAGGCCACTCCTCAGTGCCTCCAATGCATTCAGCCTCCTGGGGTACAGGGTGCTCTCCTGCTCACCTGCGTAGGGCTGAGATGGCAGTGTGGACCTCTCGGCTCTGGTAAATACCGCCAGCACCTTTGCTGTCTAATCGCACTGTGTTCACACCTATGTCCCCCACTTTCAAGACTTCACGCTTTGGAAAAGCGTCAACTATCTTTCAAGGCCTAATTCAAAGCCACCTCCTCCATGAAGACCATCAAAACCACAACCCTCACTCAGTAACAGTGAATCGCCCCTTGCAATGTACAACCACAGTACGCTAGCTTCCCTCTCCTCCTGCTTTGTTTTTATTCTGCTTTGAAAAGGTCTGTGTCTAAACTCTCTTTGTGTTTCTTTTTTCTTTTTTTCTTTTTCTTTTTTCTTTTTTTTTTTTTTTTTTTTTGAGACAGAGTCTCACTCTGTCACACAGGCTGGAGTGCAGTGGCATGATCTAGACTCACTGCAAGCTCCGCCTCCCAGATTCAAGTGATTCTCCTGCCTCAGTCTCCTGAGTAGCTGGGACTACAGGCGTGCACCACCATGCCAGGCTAATTTTTGTATTTTTAGTAGAGACGGGGTTTCACCATGTTGGCCAGGCTGGTCTCGAACTCCTGACCTCAAGTAATCCATCCGCCTCGGCCTCCCAAAGTGCGGAGATGACAGGCATGAGCCACCACGCCCGGCCTCTCTTTGCATTTCTGTAGTATGTAGTGAACCTTACATGAATGGTAATGCAAATTGAAAACTGTCTATGACCAGGCGCGCTGCTTTTTATATGTGCAGTGGCAGTTTGTGCCTGTCCAGTGTCAACTCCCTCCGCTTCAGGTAACAGGGCCCCCATCTTCCTCGGAGGAGCTGCCTGCCCCACGTTCAGTCCCTGTAGCTGAGATGATGCTGATCCATCCCCTTTTCCGGGGGTGGACATATGACTCCCATTTGACCAATCAGAGCATAGGGATTCGACGGGAGATGGGCTTGTTACTCAAGGTGGGCCAATCAGAGGCAGAGACCAGTAACCCAGGGGCATTGGCTTGCTCTCTTGGGGATCACGGGCTCTTCTTTTCTGCTGTGATTGCTAAATAGAGAGAACATCAGGCTGAGGCTGCTGGGCCCATTTTTGCCACCATGTGGGGAGAGGCTGCCTGAGAATGCTGCCTTTGGGAGGCAGGTGAGGAAACTAGACAGGAGCGCGGGGGATGCTGGCTTTGTGGAGGCTGGCCTGGGTGCAGCAGAAAGTCACCTGGGGAACAGCACTGCATGGGCACAGCCGGCCCAGAGACAGCCCAGGCTAGGGCTGGTACTGGCACATCCAATTCACAGTCAGCTGGCACAGGCGGGCAAGGCCACAGGTGAGACCACAGCACAGCATGCGGCCGCTGCCTGACTTGTGCCTTCAGAGCAGAGCCCCAGCTCCTGGCAGAAGACTCTGAGACGGGGGCCTGGCCAGCGGCAGGCTGGATGCCAGGGTCCAGGGAGCAGCACTACAGTATGCTGGGAAGAATATCAAATCCATAACGAGACCCGGTGACAACCACTTTCCAGATGGGAAAATCTGCACTTTGCTTGGTTTCTGTTTCATCTGTAAAATGGGATGATACTCTGTATTTCAATGCTAGTGTGAGATTCAGATGAGGTGATATAAATAAAGCACCTAGGACATAGCACCCAAGCAGTGGGGTGATCGCTACTCTGTGGGCGGGGTTTCCAGCCCCAGCAGGAGTGTAGGGGCTCAGGAAAGCAGACCCTGATGGAGTGGCTAGAAACTGAGGCTGCAGCTCAGCTCTGACCTGGTCACTGTGCTGGGCCATGTTAGAAAGTGAAGCAAGGGCATAGTAGGCGCCTGTAATCCCAGCTACGTGGGAGGCAGAGGCAGGAGAATCACTTGAAACCAGGAGGCGGAGGTTGCAGTGAGCTGAGATTGTGCCATTGCACTCCAGCCTGGAGGACAGAGCGAGACTGTCTCAAAAAAAAAAAAAAAAAAAAAAAAGAAAAGAAAAGAAAAGAAAAGAAAAAGAAAATGAAGCAAGACATCTCAGTCCTCTTTATATGCCCAGAACTAAGCACCACTGTGCCTGGCGAAGAGCGGGACCATAGAAAATATTTGCTGATTTTTTAAAAAATGGAGACTGCCCTTATGTTTGACATCTGCTAAGATTTCCTAAGCCATCTAAAAATCATCTACTTGGGAGAAAGATCAAACTGTGTGGCAGAATGGAAAGGCTACTAGACTTGAAGTCAGAGGACCCAGGTTGAGTTCTGGCCCTGTCCCCATGTCTGCATGACACGGAGCAAGCCCCTTAATTTCTACAAACCTCAGTTTCTTCGTCTGTAAAATGGGGCTAATACTTCAACTACCCCATAAGGACGCGGTCCAGTTTAGAAACTTCTGGTGGCACCGGAAGCCCTAGAGCAAGGGCGTCCACTGAGGCAGCCCAGGCGGACCAGCTGGAGGGGGAAGCCAGATGTGTATGTGACTCAGAGCAGCCAAAGGCCAGGCCAGGAAAAGTGTTGCCGAGTGTCTAGTGTGACAGGTGAGGCAAGGAAAGACACAGGATTGTGAGCAGGAGAGAGAGTGCAATGGGTGGAAGGAGGCCAGGGACACACTTCGGAACCAAGCCTGCGCGACAAGCTGAAAGGTTCCCTCTTACGAGGTTCTCAGTGGGGAGTCTAATAGGTAACATTTATTGAGCACTTACTGTCTGCTCAGCGTTATTCTAAGTGGTTTCATGGGCATTTCCCTTAATCCTCACAAAAACCTTGGGTGGGTGCTATTTTTTCATCCCCATTTCACCTATTAGGAAACCAAGGCATGAAAATCACACAGGAATTTAACTTGTGGCTCGAATTCTTAATGAGCTGAACTACTGTTGGTATACAAAACAGGAGTGGTTATAGTGATGTAAGGAAAGAATATATGTAAATGCATTTTATAAATTGTAAAGTGCCAGCTAATACGTGAGCTGTTGTTCAAAGCATTCAGGGAACTTTTTTGACCTCTAGTAACTCTCCAGAAGCAATGTGTTGGCTAATTATGGTTAAGAAAAGCCAAATCTCTTATTGAGCCTGGCCCTGGAGATGCCACTCTCCCCCGGGAGGTCTTTAGGGCCACACAGGACGGTGGCTGCACAAGTTTGGTGGCCAGTTTGATCTCCACGGCTCCCTGGACTCCCTGCTTCCTGTATGCACTCGAGAAATCAGTGTCCGCTGAGGGCTTCCTCGGTCAAATTCAGCTCAGGCTTAGGGACCACTGGGGCTGCAGGGCAGATGGCAGAGCCGACATGTCTGGGATCTGAATGCTCCTGCCCCTCGTGATCGCGGCATTTCAGAGCCGGAAGTCTCCCTAGAATTCTCCCCAGTCCACAAGACTTGCCAGGCATGGATAGAGCTATCTCGGAGCACTGAGGGCCTCCCTGTGGCAGGTGGCAGGAATGTGCTGTGGGCTTCCGGGACACAGGCACGGTGACCTTCTGCAGGGCTCTGCAGGCCAGGAGTGAGAGGCCTTAGGCTGACCTCACCAAGACCCACAGTGAAGACAGAGGAACGATGTGTGGGTGGGAGATTCTGGGGAGCCAAGCCGACCAGAAGGGAAACGCATGACTAAGTTCAGCGGGGCAGGCAGAGAGGAAGTGTGGGGGTGGAGGAGGCCGCAGAGCAACACAAGAGGAGAGATCCCCAGTCGGGAGGGTAAAAGGGGACGGGGTGGAGGGCTGCAGTGAAAGCAAAGGGACAGCAGTGACCAGAAGGGGTTTTAGAGGACATGGAGGTGGACGGGGTCTCAGCTGAGATAGTATTTAAGGGTGCTCTTTGGGGTAAAAGTGCCCCAGAAACGACTGGGTAAGACCTTTGAAGGTTCTCCAGAAAGGATTTTGAGGTGTTGGAATGAGTGGAGGGAGAGATAAAACTATGAGACCCAGAGTGTCATGGGGAATGACACCACCAGGGAGAGAGAGGACAGCACATGCGAGTGGCTTGGACTCCTCAAGGGGAGTAGCCAGCTGTGACAAGGTGGGGGGCTGGAAGGCAGCCTTAGTGGTGGGAACGGATGGACCTAACTCCAGGCCACAGGCAGAAGTCCAGTTGGATGGATGGAAAGCGAGCCAGGGAAAATAGTAAAAGCCTGCAGGTCTGGTTCAAGGAAAGGATTTCCAGGTATATGAGGTCAAGAACAGCCAAGGGGACTCTAGGGAAAGCAGCAAATAAAGGATAAAGGGGTCATCTGGGAAGGCAGGTGCAGGCTTGGGGAGAAGACTGGGGAAGGTGGAGCAAGGTCCTGGACAGGCTGGCAAGAGGGGAACCCAGCACTGGAGCTGAACCGGGAGGGGAGCCCTGACTCCGGAAGCCAGCTGTGCACTCCAGGTCGGGGAATGATCCTGCTGGGTCTGTTGCCTGAGTTCACTTGGGCCTGACAACCAGCCCAGGGTCCCTATCTGGGATTTCCTGGGGCCCTTACTGAGGACTGATAGGAAGTACACAGGATGTCAGGTGGAAGCCCCTCCAATCCAGGCCCACGTTATTGGACTCAGTCAACATGCCAGTGTGGAAACAGATCTGAGATCTCGGCTCCTGAACTAATGGAGCTCAGTGGGGCAAGGCCACTGCCCTTCTGCTGCTCTTCAAGAGCCCAGAGAACCAGGAGCCCTTTCACAGGCTGGCCCCTCCCAAAGGTCACTTCTGTGGTGATCATAAGCCCATGATGATGTGGACACCCCTGAATTTACAGGCTCTGCAGGGAATTCTCACTACTGTCTCACGTTGCTAAAATAAAGAGAGCTCCTCTCAGAAACACAGAAGCGTGATGGAAACCTACACTGTCACAGAGAGCACAGGGGACTTTCTGACTTGGACCCTTCCTCTTGCTGTTGGCCCTGGGGCTTCCCTCAGGCCCTTCCTTCTGCCTTTCAGACCCACTGGCCACAGTGCAGTTCATGCCTCCACCTCCCCCACTCCCCCAACACACACACACACAAACACACTCGGACCACCTTCAGGAAAGCAGGAACCGTGAGCCCAGGGAGGAAGTGGAGTGAGGAAAGCGCTTCTCTCCTCACCATCTCTCCTCCAAACCCCAGCTCCGGCGGGCAGAGGGAGAAGGGACCACAGTGCTGAAATAGTAACAGAACACAAGAGGCAAGGGGCTCCCATGCACATCCTTCTGTCTTCTTCTCCAGTCCCTGGGCCGCCCCAGCTTAGTCCCCAGGAGCACCCTGACCAAGGCTCGCTCAAGGTCAGGAGCAGCATGAGGCTGAGGCCCATGCCCTGCTCTAGGAGGAAGGA
Source organism: Homo sapiens (assembly GCF_000001405.40). Lineage (NCBI taxonomy): Eukaryota > Metazoa > Chordata > Mammalia > Primates > Hominidae > Homo > Homo sapiens. The sequence continues at coordinate 6,577,133 of NC_000017.11, forward strand.
AGCAAGTTCTTGCCATCTGAGCTGGAATTGCAATGGCAGCAGTACCTCCAAGATGGAATTATAGTTCTCAAATGGCATTCTATCTCGGGGTCACAAAAGGACATCATAGATTTCTGTGGACTATATGAGATGTGACAGACCCCCCCGTATAAAGTCAATCAGCCTGCCCTTCACCTTTCATTAATTCAGAAGAATTTACTGAGCACCAACTACAAGCTAGGCAGGGTCCCTGCCCTCAAGGAGCTAAACAGACTAGAGGTAAGCACAGAAACAGACAGAAATCCCGTGTGACCAAGCTGTGCCGGTGGAGCGCTCGGAGTGCATTTTCATGTCTCTGTACACTGGGGACGGCGTATGCAACACAAAAACACTGAACTCGTGTGTTTCTGCTTCTGAAATAGTACACGAATAGTTCGTGAGAAAGCTGAAGGGAATTACAGAATGATGTACGGTCAGCCCTTGTTCATGAAGAACAAAAAATTCTAGATGTCTGGGCTGGCTGCGAGGCGATAAACGGGAACTTTTATATTCTAAGGATTTAGCTTCCATTTGCAAAGAAAAATGTTTATTTCTTGCAGTATATTTTTGTGTCTTTGGAGAATGCTCTGGCTGTGGATGTTTGCGATGGGCCAGGGATATAAAGTTGACACCTGGACACTGGGGCTGGTTGAAGCTCCACCCACATGAGTCAGAGAAAGGCAGATCCACCTGGTGGGAGGAGCAGGAGAGAGTGGGAAGATCCTGAAACAAGGCAAAGCCTGGGCTCGGCCTTTCAGGACACAAGCTGCAACAGGAAGTGTGAGAATGGGACTGCCCCAGCACACGCCGAGTGGGGATAGGGAAAGGCAGGAAGATGAGCTCAGGTAAACTCCAAGTTTGTTTGGTCAAATTATCTCCTCCTGTGCCTCGTTTTATTCATCTATACAATGGGAACAATGATGCTCTCCACCTCACAGAGATGAGGTGAGGATTAAATAAGTTACTACATGGCAAGCACGGAGAGCAATGCTCTAGTAGGTGCTCAATAAATGTTAGCTTTTATTGTCACTAATTTTTTTCTCGGGGGGAAGGGGTGGCAAATAATCCACTATAGTCATATCACATATAAAAGTATTCTCAGTGGTTTCTGTAAATCACATTTCACTTTGCCTGTGGGAAAAAAAGGAGATGTAAGTTATTTAAAATAGGCACATACTTTAAAATATTGGGTTTATTTTAAAAACTCAGCACAGTACAAACTGCCACACAAATTACTTTATACTAGCAACAACCGGTGCTCCTATTAATTCAAGTGTACACATTTAACTCCCCAGGTTAAACACCCTGTAATTTACCTTGAAGCTCTTTACATTCTGAAGTTATATAAAATTAAGCAGGAAAACATTAACATTAAATGAAAATCAATTTTGCACAAATAAGTGTGATCAAGCAGCTTAAATCACCTGAAATTCTTGTACTTCAGAGAAAAATCCCAGATGACGGCACTGGACAGGTTATAAAGAGTTCCCTTATTCCCTGGGGGCGTCTCAGGCATTCTTTCTGCATGTTTCCTTCACTGAGCCTCAGGCTACGAATTGAGAGAAAGTCTTTCCAGGCAGTGGCCTGATTCTTACGCACATTCCGTTTCTTTTTCTGAATTCAGAGTTTCTGAAAACACAGGCTTTTCTCTTGGAAAACATGATCTGTAAGATGTTGGAGGACCAGGCTATGATGGTTCTTAAGTTTCTTCCTTTCTCTGGGGAGACACAGAGGTCTTCGCGCCATCCATCTGTTCCCTACTCCCACTTGGGTTCCTTTGTGGTATGAAATAGAGACACTTCTGACCTCATCGGAGACACAGCGAGGTCTGTACCTTCACCCAGGCACAGGAGAAGGCCTGGTCCTCTCCTGATTCCTCAAACTTCCTCTGAATCCAGAGAAAGTTTTTTATACCAGATTGTGTCAACACACAGCAATAAAATATGCTGAGGAACTAAAAATGTGAAAATCACCTAGGAATGGAACGTTGAAGAAATGTGTGTCTATTATTGTGCACTGACAGCCAGGGGGCTCCTGTTTGGAATAAACTGCAGCAGAGGAGAGGTTTGGCAGCACAGCCAGACTGTGCTCTCCCTGAGTCTACAGCCTAGTAGGGCCAGAGGTCCTGACAGGAAATCGCCAAAGATGCAAAACAGGGGCCCCGTGATGGGACCAGCTAGTAGCCGCACTTGTGTTGGTATCAATGCCAGCAAGGGTTCAACAGCAACCTGAATCCTTGTGTGAAATATACGTATCGATTATCTTTCAAAACATTTTCATCACCAAACTGAGCCAGAGGAATGAACATGGTATTTCAATAGGAAAAGTACACATTCTGAAAATATTGCCATAATCAAGTTGTGTTGCCTGGGCACTGATAAGTGTGATACATTGCATCATACATTTCCAGAACCATTGCCATGACAAAAGAAAATGCAAAGTGAGGATGACCTCCCCGGCACTGCCTTCCTTTCAGTGGGCAGCACCTTCTGGGCCTGGATGGACAGCTGAGGATGAAAATTTCCTGTGGGCCAAAACAAAGGGTGGTGCCATCCCTTCTCCAGTGTGACACAAATGGCCTCGCCTCAGAGAGCCTTTATGTAGCAGCCTCTAAGAATTCTGAGGTGAACACAGCTTCTGCATAATCTTCGCACATATCCTGAAGTTCAGCAGCCACAGCACCCAGAGCTTCATCTACCAGCTCTTCTGAAAAGCTGGAAGACAAACAACACAACTAAAGGTATGTACAAGGCCAGGCGCGGTGGCTCACACCTGTCATCCCAGCACTTTGGGAGGCCAAGATGGACAGATCACCTGAGGTCAGGAGTTTGAGACCAGCCTGGCCAACATGGTGAAACCCGGTCTCTACTAAAAATACATAAAATTAGCCGGGCGTGGTGGCATGCACACCTATAAACCCTGTTACTCAGGAGGCTGAGGCAGGAGAATCGCTTGAACCTGGGAGGTGGAGATTGCAGTGAGCAGAGATCACACCACTGCACTCCAGCCTGGGCAACAGAGTGAGATTCCGTCTCAAAATAAATAAAATAAAATAAAGGTATGTACAGCCATATATGGGAGCCATTCTTTTACTCAGCTGTGGAAATTAACAAGTCAATTCTGAAATCTAAATGGAAATTCAGAAGGCCAAGAACAGCCAAGATACTTTTTTTTTTTTTTTTGAGACGGAGTCTCGCTCTGTTGCCCAGGCTGGAGTGCAGTGGCACCATCTCGGCTCACTGCAAGCTCCGCCTCCCGGGTTCACACCATTCTCCTGCCTCAGCCTCCTGAGTAGCTGGGACTACAGGAGCCCGCCACCACGCCTGGCTAATTTTTTGTATTTTTTTAGTAGAGATGGGGTTTCACCATGTTAGCCAGGATGGTCTCAATCTCCTGACCTCGTGATCCGCCTGCCTTGGCCTCCCAAAGTGCTGGGATTACAGGCATGAGCCACTGTGCCCGGCCAAGATACTTTTGAAGAAGAAAAACAAGGTGAGAGGCCCTGCTCTCCTAGACAGAAGGATGGTGGTGCTTAGATCCCAAAGTCCTGCTAGAGGGACAGGCCTAAAACATACACAGGATGGACTTCATCCTCAATGTGTTTGAAACCAGAGGCGACCAGAAACTAACCAGCTGCAACCTAGCCCCACCTCTAACAGCTGCCTGACCGGCCGACGGAGGAAGGGGTGTGCCTTCTCTGTAGGAGACGGGGGAGGACACTAGGGGACTCTGCACGGGTGCTCCTCTGTACACACACACACACACACACACACACACACACCTTCATTTTCTGAACGGCGCAAGCTTCGTATCTCCCAAGTAGCCCTACAAACAAGGACATTCTCTTAAATAACTATGGTACAATTATAACAATTATAAAATTAACATTGATACAAAACTAGTATCTATTCTACAGGCCTATCTATCTACAGGCCTTATTCAAATTTTGCCAACCATCCAAATAATTTCCTTCAAAAGAAATTTTTTGCTAGTCCAAGGTTCCAGTCTGGGATTCCATGTCGCATTTTGTTGTCACAGCTCTTTAGTCTACTGTAATCTAATAGTCCTTCAGTCTTTCTTTGCCTCTCATGACCTTAACATTTTTTAAAGAATAAAAGCCTTTTTTTGGGGGGGTGGGGAGAATATCCCTCAATTTGGGTTTTTTCCTTATGATCAGATTCAGGACATACGGTTTTGAAAGAGATGCCACAGAAGGATAGTGTGTCCCTTCAGTGCACCATGATATCTATTTGATATCCATTAATGATGTCAGTTAATTTTGCATCACTGGGTTACGGTGATGTCTGCCAGGTTTCTCCCTTGTAAAGTTACTGTTTTCCCCTTTGTAATTAATAGGTATAGTGGAGGGAGATACTTTGAGACTATGTAAACTCCTGTTTCTCATGAAATTCGCCTAAATCAATTATTACAGGGTTGCCAAACACGGATTTTCTACTTCCATCACTTCTTCTCCATTTAATAGCTGGCATTCTACTGTAATGAAAGCTTTCCCTTGTCTTTTACTTATGTATTCATTCCTATCAGTTTGGCCTTATAGATTTTTATTTTATTGTATAGTTTGTAATCCATTACTATTATTACATATTTCGATGCTTGAAAATGTCCTGGATTTGGCCCGTAGGTGCCTCTTGGGAACTCCTGTGAACTCTCGACATGTCCCCATCTTTCTTTGAGCACTTCCTTTCTAGCACAGTATGTCTGAGGCTTATCTTACATTTTTCCAGCCCCAGGCTTATAGTCAGCCATTCTTCCAAGAAGCCCTCGTGCCTCTTCATCTGGTGCCTCTTCATGGAGAACGGTATTTAGAAACCAAGATGTGGGTACTGGGTGTGCTCACTGCTACTGGCACCTCTGCTTCTGGGCCTTCTCAGCAGACAAACTAAGAAACACCCTGTATCTATTTCTACGTCTATAAAAAACCATATATTCATCCCAGCCTTCCCCTAGAAACCTTGCTCCCATTATTCACAATGTACTTACTTATTTGACCAATCCTAAAATATAGAGAAAATAGTTTTCAACTGTTAACCCATGTCACTGTATAAAAGAAACCTACAAACTAGAATCCAGTTATGTGTTTACAGTTCTTTTTGTCTTTAGCCAGAGGTAAAGAGTCAACATACTGTGTTCAAAAGTTATTTAGGCTTCATGCCGTTAATATGATTATATTATTTATTTGAAATACAGTTAAGTTCATGTTTCTGTTTGTATTCGACTTAAGGCCCCCGCCCCATCCCTGTTGACTAAGGGGATGTATAAGAAACATTAACATGGTTTCAAAAGTCAGAGTTACACAAAAATGGTAAATGCAGATAAGTTTCACTCCCCCTCTCCTATTCCTTCTACCCCATTCCCACCCAGTTTTTGTTTTTTCGCTAATCTGACAATCTTTTGTCTTTTAATTGGCATGTAAGGTCCTTTTTCATTTAATGTTATTCTGATTTGAGTTTATGCTTCTAAAATAATAGGCATTTTCTATATTTGTCTCTTTGTTCTCTCTTCTTTCTTGGTTTCCTTTAGATTTTGTAATTTTTAAACTACATTTGCTCTTCTCTATTGACTTGGACATTACACACACTTTTATGATTCTTTAAGTGGCCACCCTGGATTACAACAAGTATCCATGACTTGACGTCTAACATTAATTGATATTCTTACCTTTTTTCCCATACAATGCAAGAACCTTAGAATACGAACTCTATTCCCTTCCTGACTTATATTCTTACATACTATTGTTACTGTATATTTTAAACGTGTGAGTACACATACACACGCATCCATAAAACATCAGTATTGTTTCATACAGCCAATATTCACTTTAACCTACCTATTTACCTATTTTTAAAATTCATGCCTCCCTATATTTCTGACCTTCCATCTGTGACTGTTTTCTTTCTTCCCCCAAAATACCCTTTTTAATATTTCCTACAGTGAAGGTCTACTGCTAATTCAGCTTTGTTAAGAAACTCTTTTCTCACCTTGCCTTTTGATGTATCTTTCACTGGGCTTAGAACTCCAGACTGGTAGTTCTTTTCGTTTGGAATTTTAAAAGATGCCAGGTCTTCCAGTTTCCACTGTTTTTGTTTATCTTGATTTTTCTTCCTCCAGCCGATTTTAAGATTTTCTCTATCTGTGATTTTTCAGCAATATTGAGTATGGATTTCTTTTTATTTTCCTTGCTTGGGGTTTTTGGAGCTTCTTGAATCTACGGCTTGATGTCTTTTGCTACTCTGGGGAAGTGATGGCCATTATCTCTTGGGATGTTGTTTGTGACTCGTTTTCTCTCTCTCCTGACCTGAGATTCCAACAACACGTTAGACCTTCTTACCTCCTCTATGTCCCTTTCCCTCTCTTCTTCACTTTTCGTCTTTTTTTGTGTGTCTCCGGGAATCACTCTGGATATTTTCTTCTGTCCTATGTTCCAAGTCTCTAATATTTTCTTCTGTTGTGTCTAATTTGCTATTGAGCCCAACCAATGAATTCTTCATTTCAGAAACTTTATCTTTCATTCTAGAATGTCCATTTGGATTTTGTTTAGTTCCCAGTTCTATGCCAAAGTTCTAATTCATGTCTTTTATTTCTATGAATGCACTAGGCACAGTTATTTTAATGTCTGTGTCTGATAGCTCTAATGTTTGTATCTGCCGTAGGTCTGTTCTTGGTATTGTCTTGTCCCTCTGTTGCCTGGTTATTTTTCACCATATACTAGACAATGTATTCAACAGTCGTAGAAATAAATTGATTTCTAAGATGATGTTATTTTCCTCCAGAGAAAATTTATGTTTTCTAATGCATGGTGCCTGTGGGGCAGTAACAATCTAGAATCACCTCAATCCAATCTGAGATAATTTGGAGCTGAGTGGAGTCCCTGAGAAGGCCTATTTACATCCAGGTCACCTGTACTTCCAGAGTGCAATCTTTTAGGAGCTCAATTAAAAGTGAAGAAAGTTCACCAGGACAATTCCCCCACTTTAGCAACCCGTGAATTCCAGCCTCTGTCCTCTGTTCTGAAAAGGCTGTCAGAAGTGCTGCTCATCTCCCTACAAACTGACTATCCAGTGCTCAACAAAGGGCTAACCTCCCCAGGGCTCTGTCTTCTCCAGGACCCTGGCCCAGTTATTCTTCATTACCTAGTTAACTTCTTGATGCCTTCAAGAATATAGGTTTTATTTTTAATACAGCTTTTCTATTAACAGTTATCCTCAGTGGGAGAGGTGGTCCAGATTACCAAGTGCGTCATCACTAGAAGCAGAAGTGATTGCCTCGTTTTTATGTTTGCTTCACTTTCTATATTCCTATCACTAATTTATACCCAAACTGTGAGAGAAATACAAGGGTACTTCTGCTACATTCCAACACATTAGGTACTGTATCTGTTTTTCTTCTTCTTCTTCCTTCTTTAATCTTCCCCGTTCTGCATTTCCCCTTGTGGAACCATCCCTGCTGGAGTGCTCTTTCCCACTACTCTAATCTGGATTAGTTCTTTTCTATGCTCACTGAAAAATCTTGTCCTGGAAAGGTTTTTGCCATTCTTCTGGAAGTTCCACGGTAGAGTCTAAGTTTACTAAAACTCAAGTCTTCCTCTTTATGTACATCTTGCATTGGTAATCTAGATCTTCCAGTAGCATGTGAACTAAATTTTTAAACACTTTGCCCACCTGAAAATGTGTTTTTGTTTGGAGTGCAGTGGTGCCATCTCAGCTCACTGCAGCCTTGATTTCCTGGGCTCAAGCAATCCTCCCACCTCAGCCTCCTGAGTAACTGGGACTACAGGCATGTACCACCATGCCCAGCTAATTTTTTGTTTTTTGTAGAGAAGAAGTCTCACCTTGGGCTGGTATCAAACTCCTGGGCTCAAGCAATCCTCCTGCCTCAGCCTCTCAAAGTGCTGAGATTAGATGTGAGCCACCATACCCGGGCCCTAAAAATGTTTCTATTCTATCTGCCCTTATCTTTAATTGATAATTTATCTGAGCACATGCTAGGTTAAATTTTGGAAGTAGGCTCTAATATCTTCTAGCTTCTGGTGTTATTAAAAACAATATGCCATTCTCATTTCTGATTATTTGAATGTGTACAGTTTTTACCCTCTGGAATCTTTTGTCATCTTTCTTTTCCTTATATTGAGATGCTCAAATTTCCTTTTCATAATGATGTGCCATGGTGTGTTCTGTTCTATTCATTTATTCCTTCACTCACTCACTCACAAGTAGACAACTGATGAACCCTTTCAATCTAAAGACTAACAGTCTTCTGGGAAATTTTCTTATAGCATTTCTCTGATAATTTCCCATTGCTCCTTTTTCCTTTTTCCCACATTCTGGAACTCCAGTGATTCAGATGTTGAATCTCCTAGAACGGCTTCTAATTTTAAAAATATTTTATTCTCTATTATCTAGCTTCTTGTCTTTTTATTCTACTGCCTGAGACATTTGACATTTTCTTTGGATCCTTCCAGTGAGTTTACTTGAGCCATCATGTTTTTAATTTCTAAGAACTTTCTTTTTATTCCCTGGAAGTTCCTTTTTTATAGTATCCTGTTCTTGTTTCATGATATAACAGTTTCACTTAGCTCTCTGAGAATATTAATTCTAGTCTGTTTTTAATGTTTTATTCTTCTCACTGTATTGTCTGCTTTGCTTCCTCAGAGTGCTTATCTGATATAATAGCCTATGTATCTTTTATCAAATATCTGGTCATCTCAGGTCATCTGCTCATTTTCAAAAATAAGAATGTCAACCAAGCCTCCTATTTCCTGACTCATCTATTGATACAGTTTGTATATTTGTTCCCGCTCAAATCTCATGATGAACTGTAATCCCCACTGCTGGAGGTGGGGCCTGGTGGGAAGTGTTTGGATCACGGGAGAGGATCCCTCATGCTTTGGTGCTGTCTTTCTTCATGATAGTGAGTTCTCATGAGATCTGGTCATTTAAAAGTGTGTGGCATTCTCCCCCACCCCTTGCTTGCTCCTTCTTTTGCTATGTGATGTGACTGTTCCCCACTTTGTCTTCTGCCATGACGGTACGTTTCCTGAGGTGTCCCGAGAAGCCAAGCATATGCCAGCACCATGCTTCCTGTAAAGCCTGCAGAACTGTAAGCTAATGAAACCTCTTTTCGTTATAAATTACCCAGTCTCAGGTATTTATAGCAATGCAAGAATGGCCCAATACACCTACACCCATGCATTCACAAGCATCTGATGCTTCTAATTCCTGAGTCTCAACCAATGTTCTTTACAGATAAACTTGGTTCTTGCCTTCATCCTCATTAGGCACTTAGCTTTCTCTAGCCTGCTAAGTCAGTCACCATTGTCTAACTGCTTTATGGCTTCCAAATTTTTATTGATATTTCTTGTTTGCTGTCATTGATGGTTTCATGTGTTTTATTCATTCTTGTAGTGACATATAGTGGGATAGAGATATAGGAAGTAAAGAGAAACATATACATTCATCTGTCCTTTTCAACCAGAATTCACTTGATTGTTTTTCAAGCCAGGAATTCTTAAGAGTTTGCTTTCAATAAGAGCACTGTCACCTTAAGCCTTTCCTTTCATATCACTCTTTTATTTGCATTCAGTTTATATCACCTGCTCAAGCTAATTGCTGGAACAGTGCTTTTCTTCAGGTATAAAGAGGAATAAAGACATTAAAAGAAAGGAAAAAACTCAGCTTTCTCCTTACCCAAGAGGCTTTAGATGAAGTCAACTGTCTTTGGATGCTTTTTAAAGATCTGATCAATATAACTCTCATCTTTGGAATATTCAAATCATAAACTAAAAAAGAAGAGATAGTGGCTCATGCCTGTAATCCCAGCACTTTGAGAGGCTGAGGCGGGTGGATCACCTGAGGTTATGAGTTCGAGACCAGCCTGGCCAACATGGTGAAACCCTTTTACTAAAAACACAAAAATTAGCCAGGTGTAGTAGCCAGTACCTGTAATCCTAGCTACTCAGGAGGCTGAGGCAGGAGAATCACTTGAACCCAGGAGGCGGAGGTTGCAGTGAGCCGAGATTGTACCACTGCACTCCAGCCTAGGTGACAGAGTGAGACTCCATCTAAAATAAAATAAAATAAAATAATAAAAAAAGAAGAGATAAAAATGAAACAGAGCTAGACTGTTCATATGCACTGTCACTTGGGGTCAAAGAACAGCAGAGGAAAATATTGTAAAAATCCAGGCATATTTTAATAGCTCTGTCCTCTACATTTTAACCTGTTATTCTTTATAGGCTGAGAGATTTTCCCTACATCCACCTAACAACTGTGAACAAAATGTGTCATTTGATCAGGTGGTAAGAACACACAAGGAACAGTCTATCTTCCTTGGCTTGCTTTTGGGTTTCCCAATATCCTGGTTAGCCTAAGCAAGCCAGACAGGTTACAAGAAAATGAGTACATATGCTACAGGAGCGCGTGTTAACAAAAGGAAGCAAGTCGCGTTTACTTCTTCTCTTCTCCCAGATAATCCTTCAGAATACATGTGAAGACAAATTTGTGTCTCTACCAGAACAAAGCATCTTATATACTTTGAAGGGTACTATCATATATACCAAAGAAAAGTCTCAGGACTTCAGGGTCAACCTGAGGGCCTAAACACAAGTGATTATCCCTGATCCCACCCAAAATCCCACTTGAATACAAGGAAATAAATAAATACATAAATCTACAAAAAGAGACACACGTGAGTGAGAAATGCCCAAGATTTTCAGAAGATAAACGCACACAGAAGAATCATAACTGATTTAGCAGCATAGAGGGAGCTGAAACCTAAGAGTCTGTAAGTGGGGGTGGGAGGGATGCCAGGCAAAAACAAGCTGATTTGTCCTATAAAACATCGTGAAGGCTCAGGAAGTTAAGAGTGCTGAGAATCATGAAGGCAGAGTGCAGTATGGGGTAGAAAATGAGGAGACTGGCTGAAAATTTGCAGAACAAGCTGTTGGACTGACACACTCCACCCCTATTCGCAGCTAAGTGACAATCCCTTCCTCACCCCCACAAAAGAAGGAAGGTATATTCTTTGGAAAAAATAAACCAGTAATTTTAAATTCAGCCAAGTAATCAATCAAGTATGAAGGGAGACACTTTCACACTTGTAAGTTTCAAGAAATTTCCTCCAATACACAAAACAGGATATGCGCCATCAAAATAAGAGTGTAAACCAAGAAAGCGGAAGACAAGGGCATCAGAAAACAGGGAATCTATTACAGGGAGACGTAAGCTAACAGGAAGGGTGATGAGGAAGGGAAGCCCCAGGATGAAAACCATCCAGGAGATCTGGAGAGCAGCCGCCTGGACTCAGGTAGGAGGAAAAGGGGTCTCAGGAGAAAAAGTAAGGGTGGGGCCGATCACAGAGATTAACTGATACTTTTGATCCAGACAAAAATTATATTATTGAGAGGCTGGCTACTGCGTACGTAAAGTTAACAAATATATAAAATAACTAGCAAATAAAAAGAAATGTAATCATAGTACACTACTATGCTACTATATAAATGTAATTATAGTATACTACTTAGCTCAATGATGAAAAATATCTTGCATGTTTGTAACAAGGTGATAACTTGCGAGGAATTTAAATGTGGGCCCTGTTTAAAAAGAATAGATTTACACCTATCTTTTAATTATTTGTACATAAAAAAAGGGCTACCCATTCTTCAAAATTTAGTAGCTACAGGATCTTGTTTTGTGACTCCACAAAACTACCTTACCCACATAAAGAAAGGAGGAGAAGGGTTAAAGAAAATGTTGCAAAATCAGAGGCCTGCTACTGATAAAAGCAAATTTGTCCCCACCAAGAACATGCCATGGTCATGGCTGTTTCCTGCCCAGGAATATTTTGTGTTCTCTGATGGGACAACATTAGCATTAACAGCAACAGGAAATCAGCTCTAACTGACTCCTGAGTATTGTACTTCTATTGTTAGGGGCTGAATGTCTGTGTTTCCCCCATATTCGTATGTTGAAGCCCTAACCCCCAATGTGGTAGTATCTGTGGTGGGGCCTTTGGGAGATAATTAGGTTTAGATGAGGTCATGAGGGTGGAGGTCCCTCAATGGGATCAGTGCCCTTCTGAGAAGAGGAAGAGACCACAGTTCCCTTTCTCTGTCACTTGAGGACACAGCAAGAAGGTGGCCATCTGCAAGCCAGGAAGAGGGCCCTCGACAGACACTCAATCTGCCATCACCTTGATCTTAGACTCCCCAGCCTCCAGAACTGTGAGAAATACATTCTTGTTTAAGTCACGCAGTCGATGGTATTCTGTGATGACAGCCTGAGCTGACTAGAACCCGATGGTATTCTGTGATGACAGCCTGAGCTGACTAGAACCCGATGGTATTCTGTGATGACAGCCTGAGCTGACTGGGACCCTCTGCCTAGAAAAAGAAGGCTGCAGAGCACCCCTGTGGATGGCACCGCCTGTGCTGTTTTACGGTTCCCTGTGTCTGAAAATAGAGAGCCTGTCTCCTAGCCCAAGAACAACCACTGAAACTCCAGGGCCCAAAAGCATATGGGATAAGACCTTGGCTAATGCTTTCTCCAGCTTTTTCTAAGTCTAAAATTTTGCAATTTGGTTCCTAAACAGAGGACCGTAACATTTTACTGACCTTTCAGCTATCAGCCACGGGTTGAAGGAGCCTACAGCCTCATGAGATATGATCCGAAGGTACTGCTCAAAACGACTACAGTAGTCACCGATGCTGTGCTGCATACCCGGTGGGACAAAGAGGGGAGCTCGGCCTTCTTTCTGTTGAGAATCTTCGGCTAGGGAGAGAAGAGGGGCCTCTCTTTTCTCTGATCCTTCCTCTGTTCCCACACTTTCATCCAGGGAACTGAGAACAAATAAAAATGATGAAAGCATTCAAGATCATCTGTAAGCAAGACTAAACTGTTAATTTACCCTCATGGTTTGATAGCCAAAGGCTCATCTTGATTTCTCTTTCTCACAATGAACAAAACTGAACAACCTAACACCATGCGTTGCTTCCCCTTTTCACGGAACCAACCCTCAACATGTGGGACTATCTGTCCCTTAAACAACAGCATTCTTAAAGCAAATCGTGCAGTAAATATCACTACAACCCACATGTACTGATGTGATGCTTTCCACATTAAAAAAACAGCTAAATGTTATTGAATACGGAAAAGCTCCTTAAAATGCAACACACTCAATGCCCATCTTGTAAACATGCTATTTACTCAGCCATCTTGGAGTTTGGCAAGATCTTGCTCAAAGGAAGAATTTCTGTCTGTCTTATGGGAACTGAAAGAATTCAAAATCTAATAACATCAAAGGTGACTGACTAGAATGAAATCAGAAAGTGTCTTTGCCACTTACTTGCCATTACAGGGCCTTTCTAACATGATGTTCACGGCTGGATCCTTGCGATCCACTGTCTTCGTGATTCTGATTGGATGAGGAGATAGAGGCTTTTCACTTATTGCTGAGATTTTTTGGTCTAGAAAAGGAGGGTCATAAAATGACTGCATATAAAGAACAGTTGGTGTCCATTTTAGAGCTGTTCTAGTGGCCAAGAACCTGAGAGCAAGTTACATGGACATCTCTTAAGCACGACAGGGTTGGCTAGCAGTGCAATGGGAAAATGCTCATTTTAAATGCAAAGGTGAATTTATATGTTACAAAGAAACCAATGAGGAATACGTTTTAAGAAATAATGAACTTGCTCTGAGGAAGGTTTCTTAAGGAGGTCTATGAAAAGCCCCAGGCTACATGGCTTCCATTAGGACCCAGCCACCCACTCAAGGAGTCTTAAGCAATTGGGTTTTTTAACCTTTAAATGCGAAGAAGAAGAAGAAGAAAGAAGAAGGAAGAAGAAGGAAGAAGAAGGAAGAAGGAAGAAGGAAGAAGGAAGAAGAAGAAGAAGAAGAAGAAGAAGAAGAAGAAGAAGAAGAAGAAGAAGAAGAAGAAGAAGAAGAAAACACTCACACCTGAACACTTAATTAGTTGATTTAATTTGTCTCTGGGCAATGCTGAAAAAATCTGCATGATGATTGTCAAAACATTAATTTATTAACTATAACTTGCAGGCTTGACAGCTCTTCTGAGTGTCAGATTATTTATAATTTTAAATGTATTTCAAGTGTAGGAAGAAAATTTGTCCTTTTCTTAAGTAGGGAGCATCTATATGTCAAGCGACTTGGCTCACATTTATATGCTTAATTTCTTGCTGTCAGACAGAAGTACGATATAAGTCAGCTTTTGTAAAACTATTACTGAGAGTGCAATCAAATTTTCAATTGTTCTCAGAGGGGATAACAGACACAGATACTGCACAATGAAAAGATCACTTTAAATTGGGTTTTGTGATGAAATTAAACAAACAGAACCACCAGAAACGGAACTCTTACTACGATTCCATGATTCCAGAATGTGTCCAAAACCTCATTTCAGTTCTCAGTGTCCTAGAGAGCTCCTTTTAAATGCATACCTAGACTCTCGGCAGAGTCACAGATAGTGACTAATAATTTAAATCATCCTTGAAAAAAGAGAACACTAAGTCCTCTGTAAGACTGTCTTCTACATGATGCAACCTAACTTTGTGGCCAGTGGCCAAACCATCAGGGAAACGAATTGCCCTCCAACGTTTACCTCTCCTCGGCTTCCACACAGAAAGATGCTAAAATGCCCAAGGGCTGACTAAACAATGATGAAAAGGGCCCTTGCCGGGCCAGTCCCATTCTAGGCACAGTGAGGAACACACAATGACAAACTCTCTGCTTTCAAAGAATCTGTGGCTTAGTTGAGAGAGATGAGACACCTTCACAAATACCTCGAACACATGGTAGGACATGCCAGAAAGTGCTATGGGTGTTCACAGGCCAGGAAGGGAACTAAATTCCAGTGCAGAGATGCCAGGGAAAGCACAGGCCGAGTAGGATCATTGAGCCTGGCCTTGAAGAACAGCTTGACTGTTATGTGAGAATGAAAATAGAGGCTGGAGGAGGATTGAGGGGAAGAGAGAACAACAGTAGCAAAGCACAGAGCACTTGAAAACAGAGAGCACACAAAAGGTAACACATTAGTGTTTTGTTGAGATGGCCCATCTTTTGGTCAAAATTTGAGAGGGGGAGTACTTTTTCTAACACGATACCTCCAAGTCCTATTTTACATGATGACATGCGACACAGGCTGCTGTGGTAAACCTTCCATCCCCCATTTCCTTTTGTCTTCATGAGGGTAGTACTCACGGCGCTTACATTCCTTAGAGGTAATGTTTAACCACACTTTACTCTCCTTTTCTTGAGTAAGGCAGTAACCGATAAGCACAAGTCAAACAGAATTTGAGTAACGTTTCCCAGCCAAAGTGGTGACAGTAACCTAGCCATTGCAGCCCAAATACATATATATACATTTTGAAAAGTGGAGGAGAAAATCAAAAGTCTTTTCAGTAAATGGAACTAGATCACATGGACTTCCATTAGGAAAAAACAAAATGAACCCCAACCTCTACCTCAAATCACAGGCAAACTTTTATGCAAGATGGATCATAGACCTACACATAAAACTAAAACCATAAAGCCTATAGAAGAAAACAAGAGAATCTCTTCCCACTTAGGAGTAGGTAAAGGTTTCTTAGGTCATAGAAAGCAAAAACCACTCAAGAAAGAATTGATGTTAGACTTTATCAAAATTAAAAATGTCTGTTCATAATAAAACATTTTTGGAAATAAGCAGCTGAGCCCATTTTTTTTCCATGGGAAAAAAAAAATTTGTAAAACCTCTATCTAAGTAGACTGGTGGCTGCCCGGGTGGGAGAAAGAAGAATGGGGAGTGAGGAAAATGTTCCAGAATTAGTTGCACAACTATGTGAATATACTAAAAACGAAAGAATTGTACAGTTTAAAAAGGTGAAATTTAAGTATGTAAATTATCTCCTTAAAATTATTTTAGAAAAACAACAAAACAAACAAAAACATGTATCTGGAAAAGAACTTGTACTCAGAATACATAAAGAAGTTCTATGACTCAAAAAGACAAGCAACCCCAAAAAAAAACTGACAAAAGATTTTGGACGCTTCACAAGGGAAGATATACAAATGCCTAATAATCACCTGAAAAGGGGCCAGGTGACGGGGCTCATGCCTGTAACTCTAGCACTTCGGGAGGCCGGGAGCAGTGGTTCACGCCTGTAATCCCAGCACTTCGGGAGGCCGGGCGCAATGGCTCACACCTGGAATCCCAGCACTTCGGGAGGCCGGGAGCAGTGGTTCACGCCTGTAATCCCAGCACTTCGGGAGGCCGGGCGCAATGGCTCACACCTGGAATCCCAGCACTTCCGGAGGCAGGGCGCAATGGCTCACACCTGGAATCCCAGCACTTCAGGAGGCCAGGCGCAATGGCTCACACCTGGAATCCCAGCACTTCAGGAGGCAGGGCGCAATGGCTCACACCTGGAATCCCAGCACTTCAGGAGGCCAGGCGCAATGGCTCACACCTGGAATCCCAGCACTGTGGGAGGCCGAGGTGGGTGTGTCACCTGAAGGCAACATGGCGAAACCCTGGCCAACATGGCAAAACCCTGTCTCTACTACAATTAAAAAATTAGCTGGGCGTGGTGGCACACACCTGTAGTCCCAGCTACTTGGGAGGCTGAGGCAACAAGAATCGCTTGAACTCGGGAGGTAGAGGTTGTGGTGAGCCGAGACTGCACCACTGCACTCCAGCCTGGGGAACAGAGTGAAACTGTGACTCAAAAAATAAAAAAAATCACTTGAAAAGGTTCTAAATATCATTATTCACCTTCACCAGGATGGTTACCACAAAAAAGACTGATGACACCAAATGTTGGCAAGGATGTAGGAAATAGGAGCAAGGCCGCTTTGATAAAGATTTGTCAATTTTTTATGAAGTTAAACACAAACTAATCTAATGATCTGGCAAGTTTGCTATTAGGTATTTATCCAAGAGAAAAACTTAAGATATACACACAGATTATACACATGAATATATTCATAGCAGATTTATTCCTAATAGCCCAAAATTTAGGAGCTGAAAGAAACAAGGAATAGATCCTTCCCTGGAGCCTCCAGAATGAACTTGCCAACACCCTGATTTCAGTCCTTTACCACTCACTTCAGATTCTGACCCCCCCCCCCAGAACTATAGGAGAATAAATTTGTGCTTTAAGCCACCAAATATGTGGCTTAAACTTGTTACAAACTTAAATTTGTTAATAACAGCAAGAGGAAATAAGCAACACAGATTTAATGTATTTATGACATAAATATAGTATTTATAAAACACTATGGTGAATGAAAGAAGTCTAGGCAAAAGAGTACACACCGTATGACTGCATTTATATGAAACTCTAGACAATCAAAGCTAACTCAGAAAGCACAGTGGTTGCCTACGTGGCGGGGCATGAGGGAACTTTCTGAGGTGATATGTTCTATGTCTTGATAGGGGTTTGCATAACAGACATGTATCCAGTTGTCAAAAACCACCAAATAGCACAGTTAGGATCTGTGCATTTTATTATCTGTAAATTTTATCTTGAAAAAAAGAGCCATAAGTAAATATTAAACTCTAGTTGATAATAAGCATGCTGAATATTTAGGGGTAAAGTGTGCTGATATGTGCAACTTTGAAATGCGAACATAAGATGAACTGATGGATGGATAGAGGGATAAATAGGTGACAAAGCAAAGAGAGTGAAATGTTAATTGTAGAATCTAGAAGGTGAGTATAGCAGTGTTTACTATACAATTTTTTCAATTTTCTGTATGTTTGAAATTCTTCAGAATAAAATGTTAGGGGAAAAACATGGGGAAACACTCACCATTGTTTTCTTCCTGCATCCAAAGTCGAGGATCAGCATATGCGATTTTATTATATCTTTGACGAACAGACTCCTGGTATTTCTTTAAAAAAAAAGAAAAAAGTTTAATTTATGAGAAAAAATGAGTTTAATTACAAACCAGAACTGGTAAAGATGTAAAAGTTCAGCAGACACAACTGATACGGACGTACTGCCAGACATGGGCACCTGTCAGGCCAGGAAGTAATTAGTTCATGAGACGAAGTCTAAAATAAAATGAAGCAATTAGCATAAAGGCAATCTAGCCCAGCACTGGCCACTAGAAGCTGCTGCAGTGAGGAAATGTTCTATATGTGCCCTGTCCAATACAGTAGCCACTAACTACTGACTCCTTAGAGTGTATTTAATTTTCATTAATTTACAGTTTAATAAGCACCTGCGGCTAGTGGCTACTGTTTTGAGCACCCCGGGCCTAGACAACTATCACCAAGGGGAGATTTCAAGACTGGGGTAAACTGCGGATCTTTAAACTTTCAAATCCAAAAAAAAAAATTGTTTTCCTTCTAATGTTTCTATCTAGCAGCAAAGCAGAAATTAGATTTAATCATGGTGCGATGGAAAAGAAAACGCTGAATTGAGAGTCAGGAGACCTGGATTCTCGTTCTGGCTCTGCCAGGATTTTTTTGTGACCTTGGCCATGTCACTTACTTCCTTATTGTACCTCATTTTCCTGCACTGAATAATCCAGGGGTTAGGCTGGGTGAAGCAGTATCACAGAAATTGAAGAAGATAAAATTATCTGTGATTTGATAGGATCACACTCCAGCTGGGAAGAGGAGGCAACTGAACAGTACGTACAAGCTGACAGATGCAAAAGCCTACGATTCCACTTGTGGGCCCAGGCCCTGGTCTCAGGGTCTTCGGAATTACACATCAGTGATATCGGGGGATAATAATAATGGTCACTTACTGGATTACATGGCAAGCAGTGCGCTGAATACTCTATGCCTCTTTTTATCCTTAAAACTCCCTACTTATCAGAGGGGTTGACGATACCAAGGTCATACAGTTAGTTGGCAATAGAGCAGGGATTTAAAACTGGGACTGTGTGACTCTAACAGATGAGGCTGCAGAGGCATGAGGAGAAATTGCACTCGGCAGAGGCCAGCCCCTAGCAGCGAACCAGACCCGGAGCCCCAGACCTTACTTCCATCTCTTCCATTCGGCGCATCATGATCTCCAGATCTGGGCTATCCTTGCTGTCCTCAACGGTGGCTAAGGTTTCAGACCCCAAGATCTTAGCATGAGTCACAGCCCAGAGCTCACTGGCACAATCTTCCAAAAAATCATCAAGCTGACGAATGTTGTTGGATTCAAAATCAACAGCTGCAACCTACAAGATGGGGTGGGGTGGGGAGGAGAGGCATGGGGTGGATTAGGGGTGGGAAGGTGATATAATGAAAACAGAAAAACATAAAAATTATTGTTAATCATAATAAACCAACAGCATACAGATCCAAATGGCAGAGTTTCTATGGTAAAACAAGATTCTCCTAAGTCAGTAAGTATCAAAAGCAATAACATCAGAATGATTTTTATCACAGTCATTTAAATGATAGCATTAACCAAGTAATACCATTATTGTCCATGCAAATTATCATTATCATCTGTTTTTCCAGTTGGTAGAACAAATATCTTCCTTTTGCTACATTCAGGAGAATGTCCAATATTTTACACGTCACACATTCCAGAGGATGTAACTATTCTCTTTTGGTGCAGTGCTTCTGTGAAAACGTCTGCTCATATGACATCACAAAGTTCAGGATTCTTTGTCTTTGAAACTCTGTACCTATCATCTGGGAGAGCTCTACCAGCCTTTCTTGACCTGGTATGTTGTACATTCAAAAAGCACTTTCCAGTTTCCAAAGCAATTTTACATGCTCTGTATTTCTCTTGATTTGAATGCATGTTTATAATCTGCCCTGAAAGAGGCTTTTGCAAAGAATGTTTGCTGGGGGAATTAATTATATCAGGCAATAGGATGAAATATTTCTAGAATTAAATTCTGGTTCTGCCCATTCATAAGCCTGCAAATTTGGGCAAGTTTACTTGACCTCTCCGGGCCTCAATCCTCTCATGTGTAATATGGAAATAATCTTGTATTTCAGAGCTGTAGGGATTTCATAAGAGCTTGCACGCTGAGACACTTAGCATAGTGCTCGGCATGAAATAAGACACTCAATGAATGGTTACAGCTACGGCAATTTAAGAAACCTTTAATGATTCACAGAAGAAAATATGTTAATGGCCAATAAAGATATGAAAAAATGTCCAACTTTCATCAAAAGTTAAAGAAATAAAAATCAAACTGAATAACCAATATAATAAAATTACAAAAAAATCAAGAGACAACCAATAATGCTTGCATGTGTATATTTTCCATCTATAAAGAATGGAACACCAAAAATACTATGTCCCATTAAAAAGGATAAGGAAGGTCTCAATGCAATGATACAGAAAGAGCACAAAAATATATTATAAATAAAGAAGCAGAGTATAGAACAGCATATGGCACCTGCTTGTGGGGAACTTTTCATATACTTCTTCTGAATTATTTAAAATTTTGGCCATGTGTATGTATAACTTTTAATTCTAAAAGAACTCATACATTTTGGAAAAATATATACTTCATGTGCCAGTTCAGTTAATGACAACAGTAGCAGCAATAGACAGATACGTTATAATGGTACCTTTACAAGAGCTTTTTCCTGATATGAGAGATAATCTTGCCTATAAGTAAATCTACAGAGAGCTGTATTTTACTTGCAAATGTCTCCTCCATTTTAAAGATGAGAACACTGAGAATTTGTGTTCAAGGTCTCCCAGGTCTTTTATAAGTTAACATAGTAAAAACAGTTTTCTTCTTCACCATGCCAACTTTGATGAGTTTGTTTGCTTTTGTTTGTTTTCATTCAGTTCTTTGTAAACACTGACTCTTGACGGTGCTGCCTGGAATACTCTGCAGTGAAGCTGCTATTTAACAACAGCCCAGAATTCTAAATACTACACAGAGTTACTTTTCTGTTTCAATAAATTGTATTAAACATCATGTAATGCCTACAAAATAATTCTAATATACAAGGCTGATCATTCCTAGTATACTCAAACATGTCTATTTCACTGCCAGCATTCATAATCACTTCATTTTCCTTTCATATTAAAGTGCAGTATGGAGTGGCCTCTCTGGGTTAAATGTTAGCCTTACTATTCCTCTAGAAAAAAAAATATATCATTTAGTGGCCAAGCTGCATAAAACACCAAGCCATAACAGCTGAATTTGTAATGGCCAAATGTAGGCTTTTAGCTTTCAGTCTTAGAAGCCTCACCTCACATCAGATTATGTCATAAAACCTTGGTACGATAAAGTTATAATCACAGAGATTATGAAAATATGTTACAGCTGAAATATTGCTTAATAATCAGAATAGGGACACATTCTTGAAACCTACCTTCTTCCTGCCCCTAAGGTCACTGGGCCAATGGAGCTTCATTCCAATTTCCTTCTGCTCTGAAACCTAAGAAGGAAGTTGGAATGAAGCTTCTTTTCCTTGCTCTGGGCAATTAAAGCTATAAATATCTTTCCAAACTCCACAAAGATTAAATGGATGCAACTTGCACCTTCTGCTCTGCAGCTCTAAGCCTAGGCAAGGCAGAAACATTTCTACAAATATTAAAAACAGGTCCTCCAGAGGAAGAGTACAGAGTGGACAACAAGAAAATGTGCTTTTATTTTTCTCAAATGTTCTCATTTTTTTCCTGGGTCACCTTTTTCTCTCTGCTAGACCAGATACTGGTCACATATTAGGCACTCAAAACATGCTTGCTTAACAATAAATATTAGGCCCCAAGTATAAAGAAAATTAGGACAATAATGAGTGAAACTAGGCTGAATGAAAGGAAATGAGGGCAGGCAGCCATTCTTCTGCCGCAGGCCACCAACATTCAGGGCCACACAGGGCACCCACACTCTGTTATCCAGAGGAAGGATAGAGCCACTAACAAAAACCTGTGGCTGTAAGATTTTTGTGCTCTGTTTGCAGGGCTGACCTAAGTCATAATACTAAATATACACTGGAAGAATTAACATGCCAAATGTGAAAAATAATATTCATACTTCTTGAGTAGGATAATCTAGTGTTTGCAAAGTAATCTGTATTTCATTTTCATTACAACTAAAGATGTTATCAAGCAATAATACCAGAATGCCAATATCACACAACGCATACCTCCTGTGCAGGCTGGGCTTTCGCTGTGTTTACTGACGAGCCATCTTTCAAATGAATATTTGCTTCTGTAGTAGAATTGACTCTCTATTAAAACAGACAAATACATTCATGGAGTATAAAGACTTATAGCTCCTATTAGTACAAATGAATTCTATTACCAGAATGACTTGTGTGGAACTATTCATCAGCTTTAGCTACATTAGGCTTTTTGCAGCAATTCAAAGCACTTTGTCTTCATGGAAACAAATGCCATGTGTTGATCTTGGCTTTCCAGCCTTTTTCTTCCCTCAACTCTGTAAACATTGTCAGAATAGCTGCATGCTTTATGCAAGTCATTCAACTTCTCTGTTCCACAGCTTCCTCAATGATAAAATGAGGAAGTTGAACTACTTGATTTCTTTTTTTTTTTTCCAGCCACTCCACAGCTCAAGACTACTTGACTTCTAAGAGTCTTCCTAGTTCTATGCTACTGAGATTTCCATGGACTCTAATACAAATTTAACATTTCTCTAACTAAAAATAGAGAAGTTCAGTGGCCTGTTTAGGGACCCCGAATGTCATTCATTCCATTTAAATTTATAATATTCTTCTGTGGCCTCATCTAGTCATACACACAAGATTGCTTCTATTTACAGGGTGGAGCTACAGGGTCTGGCTATAGAATTGAGCTTACTGCTTATGGGAGGATGGCACAACCTCTTGGTGGTACCATCTATAATTTCATCCTCAAGAAAGTACTGGATTGTGCACAGAAGCTGTCCTAACATCTCTCTCCTTTGGAAAAATAGAGCTCATCATTCCAAACCACTGAGGTGAAAAAACACAGCATTCGAGTGAAAGCTGCTAATGGAACACTAACTTCACCAACAGATCTATTTCACTCGGAACAGGGATTACAATCCCAACTTGTTTCCCAAACTAAAATCTCAACTTTCTCAAAAGGAGGACTTTCCCCTTGTCCCTTTATCTCTATCCCTTTTCCACAATGGAGGGCATATCAGTAGTGTGTGGTGGTCTGGGGGTATCTTCCAGATGCCACAGAGACACTTAGCCCTATAAAGGATCAATGAGACCTCTGCAGCAACTCATTTTAAATCCAGGACTTCCAAAAAGCAAGCAAATGAAACGAACTAGATAGATTACCTGGGCCTTGACCAAGAGAGGCTTCAAACGATCCAGAACTGCCTCCTCTACCTTGTCTGCTAAGTGGGTGGCAGAAACACTATTTAGAAATAAAATTGAAAATTAAAATCAAAGGCAATAAAATATCCTATTTTGCATATTTATTTGCCACTCCAGGAGAAGGGAAATAAAATGACCACGAGCTTCTCTAACCGTTCATGGCCATATCAATCTCCTGGGGATCTTGTGAAAATGTAGATTCCAATTCAGTTGGTCTGAGTAAGGCCTGAGAGTCTGCATTTCCAACAAGCTCCTAGGTGATGTGACAGTGCTGTTCCTAGGCCTTACTTTATGCACAGGGATTTAGGTAACATCTGAAGTGTGTAACGCACTGAGTACACTTCAAAAAAAATAACGGTTGTCATTAACAGCTAAAGAGGGTAATCAACTAAACAAAAGAAACTAATTTTGTTCCCTCTCCAAATCCCACTAAAACAACCATAGAGTTAGCTTTACACCCACAAGGATAAGGAAGAAAAAAATGGTGCTGGAAAACAAAGGACAAAAGTGATAACTAACTTAGCTGATCTGAGAAAGCTGACTTCTCCCATCCAAGTACTAACCAGGCCCAACCCTGCTTAGCTTCGGAGATCAGACGAGATCGGGCACATTCAGGGTGGTATGGCCGTAGACAGGAAGTTGACTTCTAGGGCCAGCAGTGGGAAAAACTAGAACCCACACAATTTGTACTGCTGACTTAGGCACATGACTGGTAGTACCAGGTACATCTAGGCCTGGGCTAAGCTGGGAGGGGGTGGTTTAAAAACTGACGACAACAGCCAAATGATGTTTGAGAAATTAAGACTCCTAGATCCCTTTCCCTACTTCACACAACTATACAGCCGCCTCTTTCCAACTCTAGGAGAAGTCTGATGGCTCATTCTCTGTGTGAGGGTCTCTTGACTAGGGGCACCCAATCACAGTTGAGGCTGTAGGTACCATACTGAAAAGAGGCAGCGGTCACGTATGCAGGCTAAATGCTATGTTATTAGACTCACAGCCCTCTTCCCCAACTCAGCTCCTAGGAAGCAACATCCTGATCTTACTCTCTGGGCCAAAGATCAGAAAACTTCTCTGGGCAGTCTGACCCAGGCCAAAGGAAAGACCTAAAGACCAACATAAGTGTCCTTAACAAACAGTCCAGGTGTTACTTTCATCAGATGGTGTTGGAATAGCCAGATATCCATTAAAGAAAATGAATTTCGACCAGTATTTCATCTCATACACAAAAATTAATTCTAAATGGATAACAGACACAAGAATAAATGGTAAAACTATAAAATACTTAAAGGAAAACATAAGAGAAAATCCTTGAGACACTAACATAGGCAATGATTTCTTAGCTAGTTCACCAAAAATGACTAACCAGAAAAGAAAAATTGATAAACTGGTCTTAATCAGAATTTAACACTTTTAGTCATCAAAAGACACCATTACAAAGATCTATGGGCGAGCCATAGTATTGCGAGAAAATATCTGCTGCACACATATCTGGCAAGGGGCTCATATCCAGAAAATACAAAGAACTCAAATCAACACTTAAAAAAAATTCTAATAGGCAAAAGACTTGAACACACACTTCATAATCAGCACTAGAAAAGGTGCCCAACATCATTCGCCTTCAAGGAAACACAAATTAATACCACAAAGAGATACCACCACATTCTCACCAGAATCACTAAAAGACTGACAAGCTCAATTGTTAGCAAGGATGTGAAACCAATAGAAACGAACTCACATGCACTGCTGATGGGAGTATAAAAAGCTACTACTCTGGATAATGCATATGGCTCATTTAATAAAATCAAACAACTGCCTATCCTATTACCCAGAAATTATACTCCTAGGCATTTACCCAAGAGAAATGAAAGCATATTTCTACAAAAAGCCTTGTGCAAGAATGTATGTAACAGCTTGATTCATACTAACTATAAATGGGAAAGCCCAAATGTCAATTCACAAGAGAATGAACAAACAGAATGTGGTATATTCCCACAGTGGAATACTACTCTGCACTAAAATGGATGAACTATGCTGATACACACACAATGTGGATGAATCGTAAACATTTTCTTGAGCAAAAGAAGCCAGACACAATGGGGTAGATCTTGATGATTCTATTCATATAAAGTCTGAACAGGCAAAGCTACTTACAGTAAAAGAAATCAAAGCAACTGCCTCCGTGAGGGATGGGGGTGTGGAGTAGAGAACGACCAAAAAAGACATGTGGGTACTTTCTAGGTTGAAGGACAAATTATCTATCTTGATTAGCGTTTTGGTTACCCAGGGATATGCATTTGTCAAAATTCATTGAACTGTACCTTTAAGTTCTTTGCATTTTACTATATGTAAATTATACCACGATAGAAACAATTATTTAGAAAACTAAAATACTAATTCCAACCCACATACTCTGAGTTTTTGATCGGCAATCACTCCCCCTACGTTTAAACATGAGAAGATAGCCAAGATTACTAGGTATCTGAGGAAGGAAAAAAAAGATTATGTAGGTCAAAAGGCAGAGGAAATGTGTTAATATATTCAGAAAGAAAACAGCACTGAATCCATGAAAGAAGGACAGGCGACCACTAAGTAAGAGATATTTGGAGAATATAATAGAGCTCTCAACATTTTTAAATTTTAAAATTTAAACACTGGCAGAAATGACAAACTCAATAGGTTAAATGTTAAAGTTGGAGGAAATCTCCTACTGGGGGAGGGTAGGGGTAGAGGTAGAAGAGGGAAAAAAGAAAATAGGAAAAAACAGATAAGAAAATCAGAGGACCAATCAAGGAAGTCCAACATCAAAGAACAGGAGTTTCAGAAACAGAGAATAGAGAAAACAGAGACAAGAAAAAAAAAGTACAAAATAAAGCACGAAAACTTCTCAGAATTAAAGGAAATAAATTGCCAGGCTTAAAAGGTCTACTGATGAATGAAAACACACCCACAATAAGTCCTATCATTATGAATCTGAGATACCCTGGGGAGAAAGCAGAGTCTGTGAGCCTCTAGAGAAGGATAAAAAGCAATTCTGATTTCTCATTGGAAACAAGCCAATGAGCAGAAATGCTCAGATTTTTGCTTCTGAAGAGGCTGAAAAATGTACTTTCCACTCTTCTTCCTGTTAATTACAACTAAGAATCCTGGACATTAAATATATGCAAACATAAGAGGACTCGGAGAGAAGTAGAGAAGGCACATCACCTAGGGACACTGGGACCAAAAGAATGACAGAGCAGTGAGTTCTTTGGGATTTCTCTTTGCCTTATATTTCCCAGAGTAGGTACTGGAGAAGCCGGCAACCCAGAAACACCAATAGGCACAGACAAAAAATAAGTCTTCAGTGCAAATAAAGTCTGCTCTCTCTATCAAAAGGACCAAGAAAGGGGCAGCCGAGAAAGATGGAAAACTTAGAAAATAATTGCTCTACTGCAGCCAAACACTGCAGAAAAACCCATGGCCACATGCCAGCAAAGACTGAGTGGAGAGCAAACAAGTACATGAAAAGATGTTCAGAGGCCACTATACACCCATCAGAACGCCTACAAAAAAGCAGAGTGACACCACCAAGTGCTGACAAAGATGCAGCACAACTGGATCCCTCAAACACTGCTGGTGGGAACAGACAGAGCCACTCTGGAAAACAGTATGGCAGTTTGGAACAAAGCGAAACAAAACATACCACTAGCATACAACCCAGCAACTGCCCTCTGGGCATTTATCCCAGGAAAAAAGGAAAACTTATGTTCACACAAATACTTCTACAGAACTGTTTATAGAAACTGTATTCATAATAGCCCCAAACTGGAAAAGAACTCAGATGTTCTTTTTTTTTTTTGAGACAGGGTCTTGCTCTGTTGTCCAGGCTGGAGTGCAGTGACATGATCATGGCTCACTGCAGCCTCGACTTCCCAGGCTCAAGTGATTCTCCTACTTCAGCCTCCCAAATAGCTGGGACCACAGGTTCAGATGTTCTTGAAGAGGTACATGGTTAAACTATGGTTTGTTTGTATCCACACCATGAATACTACTCAGCAACAAAAAGGGATGAACTACTGATACATGTGATGAGCTCCATGAATTTCCAGAGAATGATGTAAAGAAAAGAAGTCCCCAAAAGTTACATACTATACAATTCCACTTATAATAACACTCTTGAAATAACAAAATCATAGACAGGGAGAGCAGATGAGTGGTTGCCAGGAGATATTTAGCCAAGCAGTGAATGGGGGCAGGAGAGAAGTGGGTGTGGCAACATGAGGGCTCCTTGGGGGTGGGAAGGTTCTGTATCTCGACTATACCAATGTTAATATCCTGGTTGTAGTACTGTGCTGTAGTTTCCCAAGAGGCTAACATCTGGGGAAACTGGGTCTTCGTGTGACTCTACGATTACCTCACAATAAGAAGTTTAATTAAAAATTTCCAATAAAAATAATCTTCTATACCCAGTAAGGCTACCAGCAAATATGAGATGGTTTATCAGCTAATAAAGACATTTTCAGACTTGAAAGGTCTGAAAGGATTTACTTCCCATTCATCCTTTCTCAAGAAGCTAAATTAACCTATGCCTAACCCCAGCCCTCCGGGAGGCCAAGGCAGAAGGATCACTTGAGCCCAGGAGTCCAAGACCAGCCTGGGCAACATAGTGAGACCTTGTCTCTAACTTGAAAAAAAAAAAAAAAAAAAAGCAGCAGCTACATTAGCATGTGCTCCATCAAAACAAGCAAGTAAACTGAAGAAGATTACAACACAATATGGGAAATGGGAGGTCTAAGCCTAGATTCCTGGCTTGTCTTGCCCCTTTGCTGATGAAGTTTCTCCTACTCACTGCAGACCTGCTGTCTGCTAAGGATAGTCATCCCATCCCCACAGTAGCTGACCAGAAAGAGCTGAGAAGCCGTGCATTACAGCGCAGCCCCTCTCCTGACAAGGCTTCCTCCCGAAGTCCAGTGGACCTGGCTCACCGACAGGCCCTCCAGATGGAGGACGCCCTGTGTGTGCAGGACTCACTCCCGACCCTGCTCAGTGACCTCCTGAGAGGGGCACCTACAACTCTCATGAAAGCACAAATCAGATTAGGATCCAGGCTCTGTTCAACCTGTCTTCCCCTAGGAGTCTTCATCTGATACTACCAGAAACACTGCCCTTTCCATGTTCAGCTAGATTTGTGCCTGTTTCTCAGTTTTCAAAATTAAACAAGATATTGTTAGGGATACACACATAGTTGACAGATTTATGAAGAAGAGTAATGAAAAGATCAACACAAGAATCAGGACAGTGGCTGCCTCTCGGGGGAAAGGGGATGCAACTGAGGAGGGATACACTGGAAACTTCTGCAGCAGTGGCAACGGTCGATTCCTTGACTTACGATGGTGGTGCGTGGATGTTCATTCTGTAATATTTTGGATTGCACATGTGCATTCAGTATGTTCTTCTATATGTGTGATATGTTTAATTTCTGAAGTAAAAACACACAGAGGAATAAACGGGACACAGAGGATGAAGCTTTTGCTATATGGCCCAAAGGACAAGTGGGTAAGAGTCACAGAGAACCAAACTTCAACACAGCCTGAGGTCACACCTTCTTAGCTATAAATGACCATGAAATGTATTCCCTCTGACAGTAGTGACTATCCCATCACAGAGGGTGTGTGTAAATATACTGGACAGTTCCTTGGTGGAGATAGTAGAGAGGAGCCAAAAGCCTCAGTTGGGGGGAAAAGATCCTTCAAATCCCAAGATTCTGGGATTGTATGACTTGAAATCTTTACTACAGACAAAAAGTCTTGGCCTTCTAATGATAAACCCACAGCCCTTCTAACCTGAGACTGAACACTCCATCATGAATGGTGACAGAATGCACAGATGTTTCAATGAGTGTTCTGTTAATGTGACTATAGGATGAATTATTATCAGAGTTGGAAAAATGAGGTAATTGCAGCAGCAGCTGAACTAAATCTTTTAACAAGCTTCTTTATGTCTATAGTGCCTATAGTTTAAAAAACACTTATGGAGTGAATAGAAAAAGGGAACCGCATTTGAAAACCATAGCCTGCACTCAAGCTAACATACGAAACTAAAGTAGCTATATGTTGATTCACATGAGCAGAACATGTATGTGCATCATACTCATCTTCTGCCCTTAGAAGGACTGACATCTGGCTAGAGAAAAGTACCTTTGAGGGTAGTCCAAACAAATACACATAAGACTCTGATCTTTCAGACAGAACTTCTCTACAATTACAGATTTTTTTCAGTTCTCCTTCAAACTCCACACAAAAGAAGCATTTCCTAGCAAAAAAATATGGTATAATATACAGGTAGACATGCAGCTATTCATTCATTCATGTAATGAAGTTAGGCCTTAACAGTCCAGGTTGGTTGCTAGAACTATCTAGATCAATTAGAACAGGCAAACATCCACTATTCTTCCTAAGAAGCAAACACATACCTCAATTGTTGGAGTCTATACATTTCTTCAGCTTTGAGCTCATTCAGTTCCTTTGTTCTTCTAGAAGTTTCAGCATCAAGCCAATCAAGCCTAGAGAACAGTATCAAGAGTCACCCCAACTCTCCTCAAGGCAGAGTCAGGGCTCCCTTGAGCTCCAGTCTTGGCTCCCCCCTTGGCTTCTTAAGTGACTTCAGTCTTTTAAGGAGGCAGAAGTGTAGCTAGACCTAAATAATCTCTATTTATCATTAATGTATAGAGATGTAGAATAGGCCTGCTTACCTTTTCCTAACTCAGAAGCAAATATTTACCTCTGTTTTTGCATGCTGTCAATTTCCTTGGCTTTTAACTCTTCTAGTTCCTTCAATCTTTTGGAAGTTTCAGCATCAAGCCAAGCGAGCCTAGCAGACAGTCAAAAGAGTCAAACCAATTCTGCCTCGACACTGCAGGGTGTCATCATCACAGAAACAGACCAGAAATCAGGACCACTGCAGAGCAGAGCACCAATCCAGGCTCTATTAAGCTACTCAGTAGGTAACATAATCTCTCCGTACCCCTAAAGCTCTCTAGAACGTGTTCCATGTCAAAAAACATTAATGCACAACGCAATGAGAACCTGTCTCAAACGTTCTCAAGAAAACCAGCTATCACTCAGACTTGGGGTTTCTTATTAGACTCAAACAAAACCATTGCTATATCTTCAAGTTGAGACAAACAATGAGCCCCCAGGAGCCATATAGGCATGGTGAAGTCAAATAAAAACAAAAGGGAAAAGTTAACTGTGAACAACTCTGCTGTATGTAAAAGTGCTTTGATTCTTTTGGTTTAGGATATATGAATATTGTCAAATTATTTAATGGACCGCTTTCATTTTTGTTTTCCCATAACTGTAAGAATAATTTCAGCCAAATGAATACAGAGAAACCTGTTCTCACTGTTCTCTTCTTATGGAATGTTCTCACCTCATCTCCCATATTGAAATCCTGCCTGTTCTTCAGGTCCTAGTTTAATTTCCATCCATGAAGCCTAGACCTCTGCAGCCAGAAGTAACCCTCCCCCGTTTCTAAACTCTCTCAGTTCCTAGGTTACATACCGTGTTCTATCTTAAATTATAGTTAATTACATAACTTCTCTATTGACTATAAATAAGCAAGGGCTGGGATTATGGCCTATTTGCCCTTTTTAAAGTCTCCATAGAGCTCATAACACTGTCACATACAAAACTAGCAAGTGATATATAATTGACACATATATAATTTATGAATGAATAAGAAAAAATAGAAGAGCTCACTATAAGCTATATAGTTTGACTGAAACGTTTAATAAACTACATTTTATGTATTTATTCTATTTTTAAAAATAATCTACATTTTAAATAACCAACTTTAAATGTAGGAAAGAGAAGAAAGGGTTCACTTCCAAGTCTATGTAAAAGGAGCTCTTTAATTCTCAAAGATCTGAAAAATACCAGCACAAACCTGGCTGCTTCATGCTCAACAGCACCTGTCAGGTGACTTTCCTCTTGAGGATCTTCTTGCTGGAGAGGCTCTTTTGTGGCATCTCTGGGGCTAGTTTTCACCTTTAGCCATGCAGCACTGAAATAAATGGAAAAGCATACCTTTGTCATCATTCACTCCGTATCCAATGACTCATCCAAGTAGGTGCCAGCTCAGAGATGACAACAGCATTAAATTAATGGTGATCTGTAGCACGGGGCCCTACAGTAGAAGCTGAATGTGAAGAAAAGTGAGATCCTCCCGCACTCAGGCACAGTGTCAAAGGGCAGAAATTCTCCTTTGCTTCAAAGAAGCCATCACCATTTTAAATGAGAAACAGTGATCAATTACAGAATATTGGGTGAGTGTCAACAAAACTCTGTCACAATACATAGATTTGGATCACTAATTACATTCCATATTATAAGGCAACTCCGTATCTTTATAAGGCCTAACAGCACTGTTGAGCCTAGAAGCCTCACCCACCCTCCTCTACCCACCACACATGCACTCTAAAAGACAGTCCATTGTATATTTGGTTTGTAATACAAACTTCAACCACTGAGCTTATCAACTGAATGTAAATCTCCATATTAATACTTGTATACAAAAATACAGAAAACAGAATAGAGTAATAAAAACAAAAAAAGCACATTATGAAGTCAGAAGACCTGATTTTAGGTCTGGCTGTTACATGAATAAGACATTAAATTCTCTAAACATTGTTTCCTTAACTTGAAAATGAGAGTGGATGGATGAGCACGGCCATTCCTTCACACTCATTCGGAATCTTAGGGGGCTTCTCTTCCACCAAGCTGCTCACCCTGACTTCTGATGGCTCCAAAGACAGAACCCTGTAGTCACCTATCTTCTCCCTTCTCCCCTGACATGACTGCTTTTTACTTCTTTCCTTTTTCTGTTCCACCTCCTGGTCCTTTCCATTGTGTTTTCAAAAACTACTGCCTCACGGCAAACGAGCTCCCCTTTATCTTCAACCGATTCCCCTAAAGATTATTTCCACCTAACTGGACCCTGCTCCTCTTCTCTCTAGCCCTGTGAAATGGCAGCTTCTCATTCTAATGTGCTATGAGTGAGGATGACAAGACAGTAACATCAACATTATCCTAATTGCTCCCTGCAGCTAAGACAGTGTTGGTGAGATCTATATAGTTTTATAGTTCATAATTATCTTGACTTAGAGTTAGAATTATTTTAAAATATTTATTTACTCAGCAAAGATTTACTGAATGCCTACTATGTGACTAGCACTGGACATTCAAATATAAAAAAGAATATAAAAAAGACACAGTCCCTGGCCTCAAGTTACTAGAATCTATTGGCAGAAGAGACAAGTGAAGGGAAGCCCCCCATCTTCCATTCAATCACACATGTCCCGGTGTTGGGGTGGCCCATGGAAGGGTGTTCCAACCACAGTCAGGCAGAAGAAGGAACCAACAAGCTTCCAGACAAAGACTTCTCATGTATGACTCACCCAAAAAAGGATTTCTGCTTAATGGAAAAAATTAAGGCTACTACTTAATTTGCTCCTTATAAGCTACAGGTCACCTTTGATATATGGAGGAAAAAGAGCATCACATACACAAACGGTCCCTTGAGTTTTCACATACCATTTAGGAGACGCTGGTGGGGATGTGGGGTTTGGGGGTATCCATGGTGCCTTGCGGTCTTTCACAGGCTGCCGGTTCATTTTTAATCTGGATGAAACTGTTGTCTGCTGCACTCTGCTTTTACTGTGAGGTTGGCTTTGTCTACCTCTTTCAGCTTTGCGGAGTCCCTGTGAGAGATAAGTAAGAATTATAAGGCCACACAAATACCAAAGAAACTATGGTTTAACCTCTGACTCACTGAAGCTCCAAGTTCTCCATGTTATTCATGCATCCATTCGGTAAAACCTGAGTAGAAAGCACTGTGGCAGAAATTTGGGGGAGGGTGTAAATTTCATTGAAACAACCATGGTAGGGGCGGGGGGTGGAGGGTGTAGAATTTAAATCCCTGGCTCTGCCTGACACCTTTAAACATATAAACAATATATAAAATATATTTTTATTTATTCACAATTTGTTTCCTAATTAAACAAAAAAAATTTCATACCATATTGTTAAATTATTTTTCTTTTTTCTTTTCTTTCTCTTTTTTTTTTTTTTTTTTTTAAGAGACAGGGTCTTGCTCTGTTGCCTAGGCTGGAGTGCAGAGGTATGATCATAGCTCACTGCAGCCTCAAACTCCTGGGCTCAAGCGATTCTCCTGCCTTAGCCTCCTGAATAGCTGGGATCACAAGTGTTAGATACCATGCCTGGCTAATTTTTTATTTTTTGTAGAGCCAGGGTCTCACTGTGTTGTCCAGGCTGGTCTTGAACTCCTGGGCTCAAGTAATGAGTAAAACATTTTTCATAAAAATACTTAACCTCTCTGGGCCTTAGGTCTAAATAGAATGAATCTAGCGATTTAAAAAATGTTATCGAGAATGCGGGCTGTCTGTGGAGAGGCGCACCCATCTGAATTCCTACAGGTTCAATCTTGACATCTCAATGATTCATGGTCGCCCCCTGCCATAGAAGTTTGGGAAGAAACAGACTTGATCCTAATCCATTATCTGTCAATAACTTGGGATAACTGCTAACTCTCCTTTTCTGGAGGCCACCTGAAAATAAACAGATTTGCTAAAGAAGCCTTTGGGCAAGACCACCAAATGTCACTAATACAATAAGGGTATTCGACCAGGAGGTGGTCTTTTGGCCAGTTTTCCACTGATAGGGCCATAAGTAAGTTTTAAACAGAAGCTTAAAATATAATGTAGTTTCAAATCAAGTTGTACCCTGCTGGCTCCCAAAGCCATATTAGAAAGCACTCACCCTAGGATGCCCTTTTAATATGCAGTAATTATTATTGATCGATATTTATCTTTAGCAGGAACTAATTTTTTTTTTTCTTTAAGACAGGGTCTTACTCTGTTGCCCAGGCTGGAGTACAGTGGATCGATCACAGCTCACTGCAGCTTCAAACTCCTGGGATCAAGTGATCTTCCTGCCTCAGGCTCCCAAATAGCTGGGACTACAAGCATGAGTTACCACATCTGGCTAATTTTGTTTTTAGTAGAGATGGGGTCTCACTATGTTGCCCAGGCTGGTCTTAAACTCCTGGCCTCAAGCAATCCTCTCGCTTCCCAAATTGCTGGGATTATAGGCCTGAGACACCACACCCGGCAGGAACCAAATCTTAATCCCCTCAAGTCTCACACTTCCAAATCAGAAGCAGAAAAAAAACTGAATTTTAAAATCTCCTGCCCAATTAGGATATTGGTATCATATTAGTTAGGATCTTACCAAACCAGGAATAGAAAGAATTCTCTATTCTAGTAACAATATTAAAAATTGTTATTTTTTTGTTAAAATATATAAACAACTTAAATAGCCAGACTCAAGGACTGCAGCATCCAATTGCCTGAGAACTGGCTCCACCATATACCAGTTTATGTGACCTTGACAATGTCAGATTAACACAAATGGGCCAAAAGAGAGGAATGATTTCATACTTGCTGTCTTGCTGGCGCCAGAGTATCTTTCTTCCTAAACGGCACATTCTCAGTCACAGGCTTCTTTTTCCCTGCTTTTGTTTTTGCCACGGCTAACACCTCGTCTTTGAAGCTTGCACTTTGGTCTAGAATAAATGGTCCTTCTTCCAGAACTATATCCGCATCTAATACATCAAGCTCACTCTGCAACCTCTGGGTCTCCGGAAGCTCCGTATCGGGCTGATACTTATCTACATGGAAATTTTTGAAAAACAAACTGAGGAAAATGCTATTCAAATCAAATTGCTGAGAATGATTATCTACACACAGATAGGCTCCAAATACCTATCCTAGCCCTGCTGAGAAGCAGATGTTTTGTTGTCAACATTGTTCCTCCTCCTATGAATATTACTGCAGGTTTATAAGCAGAAACCTAGGTGTCACGGTTGACTCCCTGAATCTTCGCTATCATATTTACTCATTTACCTGGTCCCTTTGATCCTAATTTTAAAATAGCTCTTACATTTATCTCTGCCCTTCCTTCCCTTTTGCTATTACCCAAGGTCAGGCTTGCAGTATCCTGTGACTGGAATAACAGTGTCTCCTAACTGATCTCCTGTTTATCTTCACACTGTCTTCTGGCTACCAAAATTGTGCTTCTCAAATGTAATATTTAAATGTCACTTCTGGCCAGGGGCGGTGGCTCACGCCTGAAATCCCAGCACTTTGGAAGGCTGAGGCAGGTGGATCACCTGAGGTCAGGAGTTCGAGGCCAGCCTGGCCAACATGGTGAAACCCCATCTCTACTAAAACTACAAAAATTAGCCAGACATGGTGGCAGCCACCTATAATCCCAGCTACTCAGGAGGCTGAGGCAGGAGAATCGTTTGAACTCAGGAGACAGAGGTTGCAGTGAGCCAAGATCATGCCATTGCACTCCAGCCTGAGGGACAAGAGCGAGGCTTCATCTCAAAAATAATAAAAATAAATACATACATACATAAATAAATAAATGTCACTTCTATACTCAAACCCTTCAATGGGTCCTAATTTGATAGAGAATAAAGTCTGAACTCCATATAAGACATTCAACCTGCAATGGGAAAGGAAATAAAGCTGTCTATTTGAAAATGAGACAATACAGAAAATCAAAGAGACTTTACAGACAAACTATTACAGCTGAGAAGAGGGGTCAGCAAGGTTTCTGAATATAAGAAGACGAAAACATAAAATCAGTATTATCTCCATATATCAAAATAACTAATAGAAAATATAAGAAAAAAATCTCATTAACATGACAACAAAAACTACAAGGCACGTTGGAAGAAATCTAATGAAAGAAGTACAAGGCTTTTACAGAAAAATTTATAAGGTAAAGGACACGAAAGAAAATCTAAATAAATTGTTTTCATGAATGAAAAGACCATAAAGATGTCAGTTCTCCCCCAAAATAATCCATAATTTCAAGTGCATATTCAATTAAAGCCCTAACAGATTTTTTTTCAAGGATCTAAATAAGTTGATCCAAAATTCATACAGAGTAAAATCCCAGTAGCCCAAATAATTTTGAAGAACAACCAACAAAGTGGGGAGTGGATGGAGGCAGGAGTCAACTCAACCAAAGACAAAGTCTTAGTGATAAAACATTAAAGGCAGTGTGGGAGTGATGCAAACACAGGCAGAAATCAGCGAGACATCATGGACGTGACAAAGGCAGCACGATAACTCAGTGAGTCTGAACTGAATTGTTCAAAAAACAGTGTTAAGACCACTAGCATCCACAGAGAAAAAAATAAAACAGAATCCTTGCCTCACATTGAACACTTAAAGTTTAAATGGAATGAAGGCCTAAATGTGGAAAGAAAACTTTAAAACTTTAATTAGAAAATATAGCAGACTATCAGTATAACACCAGGGCAGAAGAGACTTTCTTAAAGCTCAAATATAATACTGACATATTTGAACTTAATTGGACTAAACTACAACTTCCATTTGACAAAAAGATATCCTTAAAGTCAATAGACAAGCCAAAGTCCAGAAGTAGATCTCTGCATAATTAACATAGGACTAATATCCAGACTATATAAAGAACTTCTACAAAACTATAAGACAAATAAACAATCCAATAGAGAAATAGACAAAGAACAGAAACTGGCAATTTAGACAGAAAATCTGAATTGTCAATAAAAATATGAAAAGATGATTGACTTCACTAGAATCAAAAATATTCAAACAATGAGATATCATTTTAAATCCATCAAAAGATGTGGAAAAACAAGTACTCTCACAGACTATTAGCAACTTGATTGTTCTGGTAAAGTTTAAGATTCATATACACTGCAACCCAGCAATCTCACTCCTAGGTATATACTCAGGCTAGAGGAACTCTCACACGTGCACAGAGGAAGCCAGGAACACAGATATTCATTTCACTTCATCATTGTTTATAAAAGCAAAAAACTGGGAACAACCAAAATGTCCATCAATAAGAGCTGAAAAATAAACTATGGTATATTCATATAAGGGAAACCTATACAGCAGTAAAATTAATAAATGAGAATTCATGTATCAATGTATGTATCAATATGAAAAAACCTTACAAGCATAAGTGGGGGGGGGTAAGCAAACTGCAAAATGATGCATACTGTAAGATATTTACATAAAACAATACTATATATGACAGATACACAAGCAGTACAAATGTAAAAACAGAACTCGTCTATAATAGAATGACAATAGTAACTTCTAGTGAGGGAGAAAAGAGAATGGAATGAGGAGAAAAATACAAAAGGGGCCTCAACTGTACTGCCATCTGGTTTCACTTTCCTCAGTTTCAGTTACTCCTCATCAGCCCTGGGTCCAAAAATATTCAATGGGAAATTCCAGAAATAAACAATTCATAAGTTTTATTTTATTTTTGAGACGGAGTCTTGCTCTGTTGTCCAGCCTGGAGTGCAGTAGTGTGATCTCGGCTCACTGCAACCTCCGCTTCCCAGGTTCAAGAGATTCTCCTGCCTCAGCCTCCTGAGCAGCCGGGATTACAGGCATGTGCCACCACGCCCAGCTAATTTTTGTATTTTTAGTAGAGACGGGGTTTCACCATGTTGGCCAGGCTGGTCTCAAACTCCTGACCTCAAGTGATCCACCAGCCTCGGCCTCCCAAAGTGCTGGGATTACAGGTGTGTGCCACCACGCCTGGCTAATTTTTGTATTTTTCAGTAGAGATGAGGTTTCACCATATTGGTCAGTCTCGTCTCCAACTCCTGACCTCAGGTGATCCACCCACCTCAGCCTCCCAAAATGCTGGGATTACAGGCGTGAGCCACTGCGCCTGGCCCATAAGTTTTAAAATGTGTATCCATGCTGTAGACGCTCCCTGCCTGTTAGTCACCTAGTAGCTGTCTTGGTGATCACAGCAACTGTCTCGTATCAAACTGCTTGTGTTCAAGTAACCTTGAACTTGACTTCGTAATGGCCTCAAAGAGCAACTACAGTGATGCTGGCGATTCAGATATGCTGAAGAAGCTGGAAAATGTCCCCTTTAAGTGAAAAGGTAAAAGTGCTCCACTTAATAAGGCATGTTGGCAGGTGCCTGTAGTCCCAGCTACTCGGGAGGCTGAGGCAGGAGAATGGTGTGAACCCGCGAGGCGTAGCTGGCAGTGAGCTGAGATCATGCCATTACACTCCAGCCTGGGCAACAGAGCGAGACTCCGTCTCAAAAAAAAAAAAAAAAAAAAAAAAAAAACCTAAATCCTCAGTCTGTAATTTATTTAACTCCCAAGCTTATATACATCAAAGCAACTCTGACTGTAAGTCCTGTTACCTTTCTAGTAATGATTTGCATAAAACAGCATGTTTCAGGAGTGAGTTTGAGGACACTGCTGGTGGTGGGAAGGGAGCCACCACCCTCATTGCTGACAAGTTACACTAATGCAATCAACCAATTTAAGAACAGTTCAGAAGCTGCAAAAAAACTGCACCAGCCAACTATTATGTAAATCACAAGACAGCTGATCAAATCAGGCTCAGGAGTATATTCCAAATGAAGAGTACACAGGGAGGGTTTTCCATCCAAGTGGCTCCCTAGAGTATTTTTTCAGGGGTGGGTGGGGAAGAGGAGACCTTAGGAAATCAGAATGGAAGAATAGGGTAGAGTGATACCTAAAACAGAAACAGGAAAATGTAACCTTCTGAAATCCAGATAAGGACAAGAAAAAACAACAAATATAAAATAAAACTAAGAGGGCTACCATAATCTTAAGTGTTTTACTCAAGGTTCCCAAAGAGTGGCAGAGCCAAGTCTTCTGGCTTTCGGTCCCAGGCGAGTCCCATTCATTCTGCCTTGTCAGGGCCCATGGAGCTGTTCCCCATAAATACATTTTCCAGAGAACTTAAGTTTACTTCTCTATGGCCATGTAAAACTACTTTTAAAATAGCCACCAAAGATTTGTTTTCTTAGTTAGAATATGCCTAACACAATCTAGCCTTTTCTTAATAACTTGGTGCTATTATTAAGAACTAAAAATGCCACCTTACATTTTTACAGCAGTTAGCAATTAGATAATTTGCCACTTACAACAACTAAGTCAGTCACAAAACACAAAGACTATCCTTCCCATTTTACAGATAAAAAACTTAAGATTCAGGCTGGGCGAGGTGGCTCACACCTGTAATCCCAGCACTTTGGGAGGCCAAGACAGGTGGATCACCTGAGGTCAGGAGTTCGAGACCCGACCAACCAACATGGTAAAATCCTATCTCTACTAAAAGTACAAAAAATTAGCTGGGCAGGGTGGCACATGCCTGTAATCCCAGCTATTTGGGAGGCTGAGGCAGGAGAATCGCTTGAACTCAGGAGGCGGGGGTTGCAGTGAGCTGAGATCGTGCCACTGCACTCCAGCCTGGGCGACAAAGCAAGACTACGTCTCAAAATAAATAAATAAATAAGATTCAGACAGATTAAGTCAACCCAGATTCACAAACTGGCAGAGGTGGGACTAAAATCTAGGTCTCCTTGGTCCAAGTTTCCCCCCTTTGCCTCCCAGCTTTCCTACATTTGTTCCTGTAATGAGTTTTAGGTTAGCAGGTTTTCCAGCTTCTCTCTGACACTGGTGTCCATTTTTCACTAGTCAGCTGATGGGCACCTCAAATCTTCTACCTCATTTAGCAAACACTTCTCTGTGTGCAGGCCTGGAATGCTCTCTCCATTTCCTCCAGTCTATCAAAATGAGCTCCCTAGCACCCAGAACTCAAGTTACTGTGATTTGCTGCTCAGAGATCTTTTCTTATTCAATTACACTTCTTCACAGAGTCTTTCAAC
This sequence comes from Homo sapiens, assembly GCF_000001405.40. Lineage (NCBI taxonomy): Eukaryota > Metazoa > Chordata > Mammalia > Primates > Hominidae > Homo > Homo sapiens. The sequence goes on from NC_000017.11 coordinate 6,617,218, forward strand.
AAGCACTTAAGTGCCTAACTGTGTGGCAGATGCTGGGCTCATCATAGAGGATATAAGGACAAATAAATGTGACACCCACCCTCAAGGGAAAGGCTGGCAAAGGCAGACTTCTAATTAGAAGGAAGATACTATATTACTTCTACCTGCCTACCAATGAAGGAGAGCGAACATCCCATTAAAGTGAATAAATATCTAACAGTAAATGAATAAATTAGGTTTTTATTGTAATATAATAAAAAATATACATCTGGTCTCTAGCCCAGTTTCTGGCCCAGAGCTCCTAAAACCCTTCTAATTTCCCAAGCACTAGGGGTGCTAGGTTCATCTTTTTTCCTAATATTTGGTCTTTAACCCCAGTTCCTGACACAGAGCTCTTATCCCTTGGAATTTCCTAAGGAAGCATTTTGTTTTGTTTTTTCTCTAATAAGGTGACTCTTGGAGGACTCCTGGATGGGAGCTGGTCACCAGAAAGACCATGCCATGATTAGAAGCTTGGAACTCCCACTCCCATCCTCCATCCTCCAGGAAGTGGAGAGGGGCTGGAGACTGAGTTCGTCATCGATCATGCCTATGCGATGAAGCCTCCGTAAAAATTCTGGAACTAGCTGGGTGCAGTGGCTCACGCCTGTAATCCCAACACTCTGGGAGGCCAAGGCAGGCGGATCACCTGAGGTTGGGAGTTCAAGACCAGCCTGACCAACATGGAGAAACCCCATCTCTACTAAAAATACAAAATTAGCTGGGCAAGGTGGTGCATGCCTGTAATCCCAGCTACTCAGGAGGCTGAGGCAGGAGAATCACTTGAACCTGGGAGGCGGAGGTTGCAGTGAGCCAAGATCACGCCACTGAACTCCAGCCTGGGCAACGAGAGCGAGACTCGGTCTCAAAAAAAGAAAAAAAGAAAAAAAAAATCCCACAACTACAGGGTTTGGGGAGCTCCCAGGATGGTGAACATGTGGGGGTTCCTGGAAGGTGGCTCCCCTGGAGAGGGCATGGAAGCTCTGTGCCCTTCCACATATTATAATTTGTCCTACGCATCTCTTCCATCTGGTTGTTCATCTGTATCTTCTATAACACCCTTTATGATAAATGGGTAAACATAAGTAAAGTGTTTCTCAAAGTTCTGTGAGCCATCCTAGCAAACCCCAGGAGGGGGTCAAGGGAACCCCAATTTTATAGCCTGTCGCTCAGAAGCATAGGTCACAACCTGGGACTTGTGACTGGTGTCTGAAGCTGGGGTCTCTTATGGGACTGAAACTTAACCCGTGGTATCTGACTCTAATTCCAGGGAGATAGTGTCAGAATTGAGTTGAATTACAGGATACCCAGTTGGTGTCCCCTGGAGAATTGTTTGGTGTGGCAAAAACCCACACATTTGGTGTCAGAGGTGAAGTATTGAGAGTCTTACGTAGGAAAAACAGTTTGGTTTTTCTGTCTCTTACAGTTACACTTGTAGTAGAAGTGGAACACTAAACTATTAAGGTTCCACAGAATAGTGGCAGATTGAGAAATAAATCAACTGAATTCTGGACTGATATATATAACTTTCAAATCAATGAGAAAAAAAGAAATAAAATATTGATTAATGTAGTAAATTACAACAAAGAAAAAAACTTCGGCAAATGAAAAACAAAATCAGGTAGAAAAAAGTTCAAATATGTCATTAATCTCATTAAATGTAAGTAGATTGAATATAGAACTCTTAAAACAATTAAAAACTCCAATAATAGGCCAGGCGCTGTGGCTCATGCCTGTAATCCCAGCACTTCGGAAGGCTAAGACAGGTGGATCACTTGAGGTCAGGAGTTCAAGACCAGCCTGGCCAACGTGGTGAAACCCCGTCTCTACTAAAAATACAAAAATTAGCTGGGCGTGGTGGCACGCACCTGTAATCCCAGCTACTCAAGAGGCTGAGGCAGGAGAATTGCTTAAACCTGGGAGGCAGAGGTTGCAGTGAGCCGAGATCACATCACTGCACTCCAGCCTGGACAACGGAGCGAGATTCCACTTCAAGAAAAAAAAAAAATCAGAATAATCTGGGGAAGATGAAGAAGATAAACATTGGAAGGGGTAACTCAAGGGGGTAATTTCTTAGATGCCGGTAATATTCTATTCCTTGACCTGGATAGTAGTTATACAGATGTTTTTGTTTTCTGGTAATTAATTCAGCTATAAATCTATATTATTTTGTGTACTTTTCTATCTGTAAGTTCTACTTTTTTTTTTTAAATCAAGGGTTCACTCTGTCACCCAGGCTGGAGTGCAGTGGTGCAATTTCACCTCACTGCCACCTCCATCTCCCAGGCTCAAGTGATCCTCCTGCCTCAGCCTTCCAAGTAGCTGGGATCACAGGCATGAGCCACCACTCCCGGCTACTTTTTGCATTTTTTGTAGAGACAGAGTCTACTTATGTTGCCCAGGCTGGTCCCAAACCCCTGGGCTCAAGCAATACACCTGCCTTGGCCTTCCAAAGTTCTGGGTTTACAGGCGTGAGCCACCACACCCAACTTGTATGTTCTACTTTAATTTAAAAAAAGAAAAAAGAAAAAAAACAAACTTTACTGGACTTGTCCATACATATTTATAGGTGATCTCATCTATCTAGAGAAATAAAAGAGTTAACTAACAAAGTCCCGTATTTCATCAAATCTAAAACATCAATTATAAGACACATCAGTATTTTATACATCACCAGGAATTTTTAAATGTTTAAAATGTTTACAATTTTAAAATGTTACAATTAACTACAAGTTGTCATCAATTAATAATGATTTCAGGAGCATTCAAATGTGTACCTCAGACCAACAAAATGCAGTATCCTAACATATACATCCATAAGCAAAATACTTAGAACCCAGCAGGGAGATGGATAAAGAATATGAACAGGCAAATTACAGAAGAGGAAATAATATGGCTAAGGAGCATGTGAAGAAACGACAACCCTCACCAGGAATCAGAAAATGTAACAGAAAACAAGAAGATGCCACTGTCCACTGATACTGGAAAGCTTTTAAAATTTTATTATATAACATACTTGGTGAAGATGTGGGGAAATATATACTGATGTCACTTCTAGTCAAGACATAAATGTGTGCCCACTTTTAAGGGGCAAGTTGGCAGTATCTGTTTAAATGTACGTACTGTTATCACCTAACAATTCCACTTCTTAGAATAACAAAAATTTATCTGAGGAAAAAAAAATACATATATATATATACACATATATATATAGAATGTATGTGTGTGTCTCTGTGTGTGTACATATCTCTGTCATTAAAATAAAATAAACTTTTTTTAAAGTAGGGTTCTAACTTCCAGCTCTATGGGAATTTGCCTTGGGTAGCCCAAACACTATGATGTAGCAAAGGAAATGTTACTTTCTCAACCTTCCTCTATAGAATGCCTCCAGCCCCAGGAAACATCTTGGTTGCTATTTACTGATCCTAGTTAAAGTTCATCTGTTGTGGGCTAGGTCCTAAATCCTGACTTTCCCCTCAGTGCAGTAACTGTTATAGCCCAGATAATTGTAATGAATAAAATGTCTTACAATAAACACTTTAAGACACATACCGGCAAGAAGCTGCTTTGCTACAGAAGGTCGACTTGTTTCCTGTGGGAATGTGTCCTTTGCTGTGAGGGGCCTCCTCTCACCCTTTGGTGATGTACTTGGCCATCTCTCCAAGGCCTTTTGGCTACCGATAGGAAATCTGCTCCGAATTTCACTGAAACATTTTTTCACCTTTTTTGGTGACAGTTTCTTTTCCAGGAGAGATTCCAAAGCCTGCCACAAAAACAATCAATTATTCTCTTAGTTTATCTCGCAAAAGTATGACTTTTAATCACAAAACTGAAAATAAGGACTCCAGGGAAATGTGTTATTAAATGGCTATCTCTAACAGTTAACACAATCTTAATTAAAACATGTTATTATTTAGGATATCTAATTAATTAGTAACAATTTCTGTGAGTACTTTCAGATGTGTAGCTCACTAAAGCCAATAGCAAAGACATAATGAATATGACTACTTTTAAAGGCATTCAAATCTTAAAGGATCATCATTTTAGAAATTAACTATAGTCTTCAGAATATTATCCCATCTGCTTCAAAAGCATTTTAATCATCAACAAAAATCTCATAAACTCAGTCTTTTAAGTGGGCACACATACTGTATTTAACATACATTTTCCTGAACTAAAGACCACTTAATAGGTCAATAAGAGTGGAGGGTCTGTGTCTCACCTTCCTAAAAAAAGGCATTTCCTCTAATAAGTTCCCACCCATCCATTACTGGGAAGTCAGGGCCCAGTCTCCACCTGGTCAGGACAGATTAAGGACAACTGAACACGGTCAGGAAGATTTAGTTCAGAGAACAGTAATATAGTAAGAAAACATGCTGTGAAATGATGTAGGGCCACAAGAGGAAAAATAACACATTTCTTGCATTTTGAAAAGTAGGGGAGATAAACATTCTGTTTAAGAAACATTAGGTTAAAGGTACTCTTACTCAAGCTCAAAATGTAGGAGAGGGACTAGAGAGTTTCTTCAGATCCTTTATAGGATTATGAAGATGTGTACTCTAAATTATTTTGGCCAATAAATGTTTCTTACGGATACGTTAAAAAAGCATCACATGACTTGAGATGCTGCCTAAAATTCTGAGGTCTGCATTTGACAACAGCATTCCTCACAGTGAGTTCTATATACACGAATGTAACCAATGAAAATCACAAACACATTTGCTTGATAATGAAACTGTGAAGGCAGAAGTGGCCTTAAAGACCACCAAGAGCTGGTTAATGGTGGTAGAACTGGAGTGTCATTTAGTCTAGAATTCTCTCCACTATCCACCTTTCTTCTACAGCTAACAGCTTACTCTGCCATGCTAACATAAAGATCACCTTTCTATTTGTGGATGAAAATGTATGGCGTAGGGGAACTAATACTAGCATGGGAGTCAGAAAATAGAATTTGATGCCTAGCTCTCAAGAAAAATAACTGTCATCTCTCCGATGTTTGCTTTTCTAAAAAAATTTAACCTGTACAACAGCAGTAAAACCCATTGCAAAGCATACTGCCATAGAAAGGGTCAAATGGCATAATTACATGGAAACACCATGCAAACTTCAGAGAGCTATAAAATTAATGTGTCTTTGTCACCAATGAAAACTAAGAACACTATCAATTCCTGTCTAATACATGCCAGCTGTGATTTCTAGACGTCTCTAGCTATATCACAAGATTTGAGGCTCTGATTCCATATACTGTACCTTTAAGTGTTTCTTCTTTTCCAAAATCCATCTAAATTAAACACTGATATTCTAATCTAAGAATGCTTTACTGGTTTCCTTTTCTATGCTAATAAATTTTTTTCTCAAATGGCATGGGCCAGGGAATGGGACATTCTGTTTAGTTAATGAACCTGGTTTAAAGTTGTTACATGTTTTATATTCAAGTTACCAATTTTCGAAGCAGTGAAATACGATAATACAGACTACACTGTAAAAATAGCAAAACAAAAAGAAGTGTTTCTTCTGCCCTCTGCAAAGCTTTAATTCACTAGGTAATGGCTTTGTCTTGTATTCTCCATAAATCCTAACGAAACTAGGTAATAGTAAGCATTACTTCCAATGCACCTCTAACAAAAATTGGAATTAATTCCATACCTCAATTTGTTGCAGAATATCTATAACCACATCAGGAACAGAAGGGTCTGCATCCAGCTTGACAGAACAAAGTGAAAGCTGGCGAATAAGGCTGCCCAGTTCCTTACACCGAGCAGGAAGTGGATGCTCCCCTCGGTCAGTAAACTGAGTGACAAACATCTGTAAGGCCCGAATGGCTCCTCGATGGGCAGCCGCCAGCTTAGACATTGCCCATGACTGGTAATAAACAAGATGAGAGAAGTTATTTCCATACTCAGAACTTGCTAACATTCACCCAACTTCTAAGAATATTTATAGCCTGTCTTCTTTCTGTATAAAGTGCTTTCTATTGTGAAAACTTTTTCATAGTAAAGGGAGTTGTAAAGTTTAAAGTTTTCTAGTGGCAGTCTTTTCCTTACTACTTCCAATTTTTTATACCAGCAGCAACAACAACAAAAATCTATTTTTTAGAACCTGTTCCTTAGAAGGCAACCATATTCAGAATATGTAAGGTGCTCACTCCCTCACTAACAGGTTTCTGCAAGTACTGAAAATAACATTAGTGCAGAGGGCCCTACACAATACTAACAAAACACTGGGAAATGTCATTTATAAGCAAGTATTGATCATAATTTAATTGCAGCATACCTTCTTAGTGTGTTTAATTTTATGTGGACTCAATTTATCCAATTCTTCCTGGATTTCTTTTACCTGTTTTGTAAAGGGGAAAAAAGAAAACTTCATACCTTTCCATTGATCTTTTTTGTAGAAAAGGATGCATCGATATATCTCCTCTTGTCCAAATATAACCATTATTAATTCAAGTCACTTGAAAATGAAAAAAAGGCTCTTCATTCATGCACCCAAAAAACAGTTACTGGTTTCCAGTTCAAGATAGTGAATAGGCAGTGTTCACCTTCCATCCCTTCGTCCCCAGTGTAATAGGAATTTAGCATGAAGGAGTGAAGGTGGAGGTGACTCTGGAAATGTAGGCGGGCCGGATCGTGAAGTCTTACATGCCACGCTGAAGAGTTTAGCTTTCATCCTCTAAGTTACAGAGAGCCACTAAAGTCTTTTAAGCAGAGGTCTGACATGGTAAGATTCATGTTTTAGAGCAATCTCTACGGCAGCAGTGTAGAATAAGAACTGAAATAGAACCCAAAAGAATACACTGCAAAACCTAACTCAGGCATTTTCTTTTAAATGAAAAAGTACAGCTTTTGGTTCAAGCAATAAAGGCTAACATGTGACTTCAGTGACCAGAAATGAGTAAAAGGCTTACTAATGTATAAGGCATGAAAGTCACAACAAACACTTTTTAAAAATCCATCACAATGTAAAGAACGTAAATGCCTGTGTATCCGCTACTAAAGATGTCCTCAAAGACACTTAACATGGTCTTTACTCTTTGCTGTTTACCAAATTATTTACTATTACAAGCTTCTATACATTATAAACATGAAATAGATGGGAAACTAACAAGGTCCCTTTCCTCTAAGACTGGGGTCCATAGCTAGGACCAAGGGTTCAGGGTAACTGATCCACCTGACTTCCCATGCAAAAATATGTGCTATATAATGTATAAGCATCTTGGGGGTGGGGAGGAGTGGCTTTTAATAGATTCTCAAAGGTCTATGACCTCATAAAGTCAAGAACCAGTTTAAGGAGTTTGGCGCCACACACACACACACACACACACACACACACACACGCAGATTACAAAAAGAAAGAGAATTATTTGCCCATGTGTTCAGGTAATTGAGCCTCACAAATCTGTCAGAACTCATATGGGATACTCTAGTGCTAATCTTTCTGAGACAAAAGGAAAACAGAAACTCTCTAAGGAAGCAGTACACAAGGCTGACTGCCCTACTTCTCCCTGAACTTTTCACACCTGCTGCTGGAGGACGTAGAGCATTCGGGCAGAGCGAGCAGCTTGCTCCTGTCTCCTGATACGGATTCGACGTTCTTCATCTGGATCCAAAGCTTCTTCTAGTCTATCTGAAAATATTAATAGTTTTCCCCAAAAGTGGATTATAAACCATATATTAAAACTTACAAAGACTTCAATTACTTACAGAAATAATAAAGTTGAAGATCTCTGGTTTTATTAAGAAAAAAATGAGGCTATCATAACAGAAAATTTCATTTTTCATCAGCCAAGAAACCAGCAGTAAGTGGAGCTGTGTACTGACTGAGAGATGGAAGGGACATAAAGACATTTACTCCATCAAGCTCCCCTCCAGCCAGAATTCCCACTGGACAGCGATTTCACTATGAGGCACCTCTTACTATTTTAGAATTCCTTATATTGAGCCAAAATCTGTTATTCTTGCTATTTTTTCAAAAACTTTTTATTGGCCTGTTTTTATGTTTAGCAAGATTAGTTTTACAATGTAAAGAAGGTATTAATAAATGCCTATTGATCAGCCACTAAATATGTCCTGAAAGACACTTAACATGGTCTTTAGTCTTTGCTGTTTAATAGAGAATAATCAAATGTTGAATTCAAAAGAGAAATCCTGGCCAGGAGTGGTGGCTCACCCCTATAATCCCAGCACTTTGGGAGGCTGAGATGGGCGGATCACCTGAGGTCAGAATTTCAAGGCCAGCCCGGCCAACATGGCAAAACCCTGTCTCTACTAAAAATACAAAAATTAGCCAGGCGTGGTGGTGTGCACCTGTAATCCCAGCTACTCGGGAGGCTGAGGCAGGAGAACTGCTTGAACCCAGGAGGCGGAGGTTGCAGTGAGCTGAGATCGCACCACTACACTCCAGCCTGGGTGACAAAATGAGACTGTCTTAAAAAAGAGAAGAATTAAAAAAAAGAGAGAGAGACATTAAGATAGCATCTTATTGTAAACATTTTTTTCTTTTTCTTTCTGAGGCAGAGTCTCACACTGTCACCAGTCTCACACAGCAACCTCCACCTCCCGGGTCAAGTGATTCTCCTGCCTCAGCCTCCTGAGTAGCTGGGATTACAGGTCCACACCACCACACTCAACTAATTTTTGTATCTTTAGTAGAGACAAGGTTTTGGCCTGTTGGCCAGGCTGGTCTCAAACTCCTGGCCTCAAGTGATGCACCTGCCTCAGCCTCCAAAAGTGCTAGGATTACAGGTGTGAGCCACCATGCCCAGCCTTAATCTTGATTTCAAAAGACAAGTCTTTTCTCTAACATATTAAGATAGCAAGTCTCAAAATTATTTGAGTGTCTAGAGTCTTCATGTATTTCTCAGGAAGCATACCCTTGTACACACTGGTACTCTATATCTTGAAAAGATTGGTTCAAAGAAATTGTTTCTGGAAAACTGTTTGAAGAAGATGCAATCTATCTATTCCTTCCAGGCTGTGGTTTTCAAATACACTTATACAAACAAATTCTTATACGAAACTCCAATATACTCCAATTATCAAAGAAAAGGGAGTCTTCAATTAGTAAAAGTGTATTTTATAAGTTCAAATTTTTAATATTTACTCTTTAAAACATCAAACAATGCAAAGAGTATAAGGCTGTTTTGAAGAAAGCAAAAATCTGAAGTCAGGAGTTGTAGATACAGATGCAGTCTCAAGAGACCCTATATGTCTAATTACTTTCATCTCGTTTGGGCTGCATGGTAGGGGAAAATCCGGATTCACATACTTCTATGAACATAAATGGAACGGGCTTAGGTGGGGGGTTTGAAGGCTCACTGCAGATGATTCCCATGCAGCGCCTGCAGCTGTCTACAGAGCAGCACTGGGAAGCACAAATGGGCCTTCGGGGCTACTTCAAAGGGGGTCTGCAGCCAGGGGCCATCGCAAAATATTATTAATCCATGAAAGGTAAGTACAGAAATTTAAAGTATATGTTTACGTGTTTCCATAGCAGTTTGCCGCTACTGTGACATTTTTATTATAGTTCACAAAGTATTGACTTATGACACATTGAAAATTCATGTAAATAAAATAAACCAACCCAGTCCTTCCCCACAGAGACTTTGAAAGCTCTGTTCTAACAGTTCCCCGGTATTAGGCCAGATCACCAGAGCAGTGGGCCTTGTGGCTTTGTTCCCCTGGTCGCAGGGCTTCCAATCAAAGTAGGTAGGGGTCCATGCCACAGGCTGACACTAAGGAATATCAAGAGAAACAAGCCACAACATTTCTGTTATTTTTATGCTGGAATGGTTTTGAATTGTTCATGATATTATACAACACACTCTTTAAGAAGACCTACAGGAGAAATTTCTTTCTGGCCTTAATATGTGGAATAATTGTTTTCCTTACACAATTGTTTTTTTCTGTCTTAGACTTTGTAAATTCTCCAAGTGATTTGACGTTCCCTCTTTAGCTGGCTCCTAGGAAGCTCAGAAGCAAATCTGTGACTCATCCCTAGTAAATGTTTTTCCTTTCCTTATTGTTTCCTTTGCCACAATATCCTCATGTGCATTTTTGTTTTATCTTATTCAATCACAGGTATTTCTTAAGGTACCTTAAATTCTTTCATAAGATGCATATAGGTACATATGCATATATTAATTAAATTGAAAATGCAAAAAATAATTCTAGACTATGTACTACCCTAGTGCAACGGTTTCTTTTGATGCTCAACTCCATACCCCTTGCAATCTGAAAGCTGGGCTTGGTTCCCTACTTGTTAGTTACGGTAACCCCAAATTCTCCACGTGGAACCAGTCTTCTACTCAGCAGGGAAATACAAGGGCCCTGAGAACACTGCAGAACTGTAGAAAACCATATATGATGATTAAATTCCTTCCTTCCTACCCTGTGCTCACTTTACACATATACCCACAACTTCCCTTGTCACTGGTGTGTACTCACCTAAATACTGCCCAAGTGAGAACTGGTTTTACCTATAATATAAATACATTATGCTCTCTTTTCAAGCAAATTGAAAAATAATTTTCCCAGAAGAGGGAAAACATTATAGGATAATTTGCACTCAGGTCCCAGAAGACCTAAGGTTCAGCCAACATTAATGCCACCTCGTAGGCTGGGCCCTCAGTCAGTGGACATTTGAAGGGCAGCCACAGTGAAGAAGTTCTTTCATGTCCCTCCGCTGGAAAGAGGAGCTGGGGCAAGACACTGTTCAAACTCCAAGCCTAACTGTCTTGTCCTGAGTACTCACACTCCAGTGAACCAACTCACAGAAGGAAAGAATGAAATTGCTATAGGGGTTGAGGGTCCTCAAGGAATGCATTTAAACTACCCCATAATCACAGCCTTAGGTCGAAGTAAAGAATCTAATTTTTCTCACCTTTTTTAGTTACCTCTTCAATTTTGTGGATACAACTGCTCAGTTCTTTCTGGAGTCGCTGGACTTCTAGCAGGCTTTTCTGTTCACTTATGTTTTTGTGGTCACCTATCCTGGGATGAGGCTGAAGTCCCGGATCATGGGTGGGTGGCGAATTTGGCACAGTAAGATCTGACTGGCCTGGATGAGATGAGTAAAGGTATACTTTGGCACCAGAGCTGGAGATTTCTACTTTGGATGGCTGGTGGCTACACTGACAGGCTGCTTGACTCTTTGATTCCTTCCTTTCCACCCTGTGGTCGGGTATTTTATACTTAGTATGTCCACACTTCTGAGAGCTTTGAGGCTGACTTCTGAGATGATGTTCTTTTATATGTTTTTCAAATTGTCTTCGTTTCACATCTCTTCTGGCTAGGTGGACAGCATAGCTAAGTCTCTCTTGGGATATGACGGAAAATGAAACAGAACTGCCCAGGTCAGGACCAACTCTACAATCTGCATCTTTACAATGGTATGATTCATTGTATGAGTGCTTCAGTTTTTCAATTCTAATGGCATGTGGGCAAGAATATCGGATCGCCAAGTTGCTTGAATGTGTAGGAACATTCCTATTAAACTGCAGCTGGTTCTTTAAAAAGCAAATAAAAGTAAGCAGACATCAGAAAAATTTCATATTGCACAGTTGGTATATGTCTATAATCAAATTTCTAAAATTTTGCCACCAGATCATTAGTGCTAAGAGGCATTTTTCTGTTTTACTGATAGACACAGCCACGCTCCTACACCCTTGGGTTCATCACATACCCCTGGTTCTATCCTATAATCATCCAGTCCCATACTATTATCCTTCTGTTTACTAATGTCATACTGGGAACCATCTCTAAAAGTAAACCCAGAAAGCTTCAAGCAGCAACCACTAAGTCCTTCAATTTCCCAGTTATGGACTTCTGTCCTATTTCAAAATGTCAGGCCCCAGCAAGTGACCAATATAACCCATTGAAGCTTTCTTAAAATTTGCTCCACGGATAGATCCAAGCCATCTGATAGTACTTCTTCAGGTCTTCCTGAGACTTCATTTGGTGGCTGGATCCATCTTTTACCCTGCCCCTAAGTGTATCTCACTTGAAACAGTCCGCTTATGCTTTCTTACACAGGCTCAAGTTTTTGTCAGTTTTCCTCATAATAAATACAAGTTTTGTTTCGTTTTGCACTTAAACATAAACATGTTTCTATATCCCTACAGCTTTTATTTATCATTGTTGCATTTTCCAAAATCCAATGAATGGTCTTTTCATGCCTAACTATAATGTTAATATTAAACATTTAGATTGTTCCAGTTTTTCCACTAATAGAAATATTACCTCAATTAATGTCTCCATGCATTTAGTTTTTTAACCTTTTAAAATTATTTCCTTAGGATAAATGATCTGTTCTGGGATTATCAGGTTAAAGGAAAGAAACGATTTTATGGCTTTAAATATGTACCCTCCTTAGGCCTACCAGAATGAACCTGTCAAAGACCGGTCAATAGCCTGAGGAGAATCCATGCCTACAAATTCAATGAACCCAGTCCTGTGATGCCGTGACCTTGGAGATGGCCTCCCCTGCTCTCACAATCAATGTGTTTATATAATTACAGGCATCAAGAGTCACTTAAAAATAATCAATTGTGACAAAACTTCAGGGAAGTATTTCGGATTTTTAAAAAGTAGTTAGAAAGCTCACTAAAGAAAAAACAAATAGGTACCATCTGAAAGATACACAGACTGATGAACGGTGTTTGTCATTTGAGGTCAGGAGTTTGAGACCAGCTTGGCCAACATGGCAAAACCCCATCTCTACTAAAAAACATATAAAAATTAGGTAGGCGTGATGGCACATGCCTGTAATCCCAGCTACTCAGGAGGCTGAGACACAAGAATCGCTTGAGCCTGGGAGGTGGAGGTTGCAGCGAGCTGAGACTAAGCCACTGCACTCAAGCTTGGGTGACAGAGGAAGACACTGTCTAAATAATAATAATAATTATAATAATAATTATTGAAGTATAAAAAGATCAAAACTGAATAAAAACAGGGAAAAACATATGACCAATTTACCAAAAAAGAGGTCCTTAAGTACATAAAAAGATGTTCAATCTCATAACACAAATTAAAAATACATGGAAATACCATCTCTTACCCAACCGATTAGCAAAAATTTAAAAGTATAGCAATATATGCTGTTGGTGAGGCTGTGGGAAGCAGGCGCCCTCATAGAAGAGGTGCTGGTGGTCATGCAAATTGGCATAATTCTTATGGAGGGGAATTTGGCAATCGCTAACAAAAACACCATGCATTCATCACTTTTTTTTTTAATTAAAAAGATTTAGCACAGGAAAGAAAGAAAAGACACTTGAAAGAGACCCAAGCAGGCAACTTGAAGGACAAGTATCACATTTAACTTTTGACCCAGGAGTCTCACTTCTAGGAATTTACCCTGTAGACACACCTCCAACAATAAACATGTACAGGGTTACTCACTGCTATATTGTTTGTAACTGTAAATTATTAGAATCAATCTGAGTCCCCATGAAGGAGAGTAGCTGAGTAAACAATGGTCTATCCACAAACTGGAGTAAAATGAAGATATAAAACAAAAATGAGGAAGATCTCTGTGACACTTCTATGAATTAATGTGGAGAGATTGGAATATATTGTTCAGCAGAAAGCACTATGCGCAAAAAGTATATTTATAATACACTACCCTTCATATAAGAAAAGAAGACATGAGAAAATATATATACATCTGAATCACTTGTGCAAAAAGAAACAGAAAACAAAAATCAGAGACTAATGAGATTAGTTATCTACAGGGAACTGGTAGGAATAGGAAGGAAAGGACAGAGGGAATGGGGTAGCAGATAACTTTTCTGAATATACCTTTTTGTATATTTGGAACCATGTTAATGTTTCACATATACACGAGAGACAGGAAGAAAGAAATGAATGAATGAAGGGAGGAAGAGGGAAAGGAAGGAAAAAAAAATCCATAAGGATAGTGGAAAACCCCCAAATAAATACCAACAGAAACCAATGAACCAAACTGAATCTCAGATAAGTAACATAACCACGCTAAAAAGTGAAGATGAAAAAAATTAACCCCAGTAACTTTTGAATATAGCATTTGGACTATATGCCGTCAGGCTAAAGACAGATGTACTCTAAACAAATACTGAACTCTAATTTTGCAGGCTTCTTCTTGAGCAGAGACACGGATTACAATTCAGAAACTACCTTTTGTACATTCCAGAACTGAGCAAAAAAGTAAATATATTGTGGATAATGATAGCCAGCTTTCATGCTCTGGGACAAGGGAGTTGGAAATATGTAGTGTTGGATTTGAATTGGAGATACCTGTGTGAACTTGTGAGTTTTAATACAGACATATAGGCAGACAGACACAGAAAGATACATAGACAGCAAGAGAAGGAGGAAGGGAAGAGAAAGAAAGAAACAGGAAGGAGATGAGAAAGTGTAGCTACAGACATGTGAGTACGGGTGTGCATTTATGAATGTGTGTACATGTATGTATATGCACACAAGTATACATCTATTTCCTAGTTCTGTCCTCTGAGAGGGCCTAAAACAATGACATGATAGTATCAAGGAGCACATCCAGCCCCAGATAGTGATTTTTTAAATTTCATTCTCCACTGAAGAATCAAAGTCTCCTTGGATAAATGGTTAATTCCAGGGCCAGGACAAAGAAAAGACAAGTTGAGCCTGGAGTATCTTTTATTTATTTATTTATTTATTTATGAGACGGAGTCACCCAGGCTGGAGTGCAGTGGCACAATCTTGGCTCACTGCAACCTCCGCCTCCTGGGTTCAAGTGATTCTACTGCCTCGGCCTCCCAAGTAGCTGAGATTATAGGTGTGCACCATCATGCTCAGCTAATTTTTTTGTATTTTTTAGCAGAGATGGGGTTTTAGCAACATGGGGTTTCACCATGTTGGCCAGGCTGGTCTTGAACTCCTGACCTCAAGTGATCCTCCTGCCTTGGCCTCCCAAAGTGCTGGGATTACAGGCATGAGCCACAACGCCCAGCCTTGGAGTGTCTTTTTACACCATAAAGTGGTCAAAGACTGATGAGATCATGTCAAAGAGACACTGGGGCCAACTAGAAGTGGCTCTCACTGGCTAAATCAAAGACCATTTGAACATCAAAATAAATATCTGCACATCAAAATAAATAATGAGAATAAAAATAATAATGAGTCTGTGCTGAAATAAATAAGTAAGTACTAGGAAAAGAAGGGGTTTCCTGGAGCAGTGGGAAAGAGCCAGATTGCAAGGAGTAAGGCAACAAGTAAATGTAGAAGGAAGGGTAAAATTAGAAATCCCCATTTGCCAACCACCATAATAAAAAACTGATTCAGGCAAAAATGCTAAAAGTAGTTGGTGAAAGTTTGAGGTGTTAAAAAGACATTAACATAGTCTCCAAGACAAATAATTACAAAAAGCAAAGGAGTAACTTTACAATGAAAAAACCAGGCAGATACCACCTTAATCAAATGGTGAAAGTCAACACTGCTAGTGCTGGGACTAAATTGGCAGCATGTACTTGCTGATAGGGTGTCCTGAGAAGCACTCAGTATCATTCAGTGGTTCTCCTGCCAAAAGTGCATTACCTGAATGTAACTGTGAGAAGACATCAGGCAAATCTAAATTGAGAGAAAATCCACAAATAACTGGCCTATATTCTTAAAAAAAATCAATGTCACAAAACCTAAAAACAGACTCAGAAATCAGATTAAAGGAGACTACAGAGGCATGACAATGTAATGCACCTTATGATCTTGGATTTTCTTTTGCTATAAAGGACACTATTGGGACAACTAACAAAATCTCAGTAAGGTCTGCAGATTACATGATGGTATCGATTTAATGTTAATTTCTGATTCTGATCATTGTACTATGGTTATATAATAGAATTCTTTATTTTCAGGAAAAAAATACTTAGAGGTAAAAGGGCACTGTGTCTGCAATTTACTCTTAAATGGTTTAGAAAATAATTTGTGTGTGTATAGAGATAGTGAGAGAGAGAAGGAGGGAATACGTAGCAAAATGTTAGCATTTGAGGAATCTGGGAGAAGAGTATCCAGGAATTCTGTGGACTATTCTTGCAACTTTTCTGTCAGTCTGAAATTATGTCAAAAAATTTTTTTAAATTTCTTTGTACACCACGATAAGATATTATTAAACACCCACCAGAATGGCTAAAGAGACAACAACAAGTGTTGGCAAAGATGTGGAGCAACTGGAGCTCTCATACATTGTCAGCAGGAATGTAAAACGGTACCACCACTATGTAAAAAGGTCCAATGGTTTGTTATAAAACTAAATATACACCTACCCCATGACTCAGCAATTTCACTGTTGGATATTTACCCAAAAGAAATGAAAACATGTTCATAAAAAGATCTGTATAAGAATGTTCATAGCAGCTTTATTTATAATAATCCCAAATTGGAAGCAGCCCAGGTGTCCATTAATTGGAGAACGGATAAACAAACTGTGGTATACTCATAGTATGGAATGAGAAAAAAGGATTAAAAAGGAATAAACTACTGATACATGCAATGACAAGGATGGATCTCAAAAACTTTACAGCTAGTGAAATGTCTTAACACCAAAAAAATATAAAATCCCATTTATATAAGGTTCTAGATCAGGGAAAACTAATCTGTGGTGGAAAAAATAAGAATAGTGGCTGCCTCTGGAGGGGAGGAGTGGGGGTTATCTAGCAAGGGGCATCAAGAGAACTTTCTAGGATAACAGAAATGATCTGTATCTTGATAGAGGTATGGGTTACACATATGTATGCATTTGTCAAAACTCAGCAAATGTGAAAAGATGTACACATTGCAATGTGTACATCTTTCACCATTTCTGACGTAAAATGTATATTGAAAGAAAAAAATCAGTAAACAGGGTGAATTCTTTTTTTTTTTTTTTTTTCTTTTTTGAGATGGAGTCTCGCTCTGTCACCCAGGGTGGAGTGCAGTGGCACAATCTCTGCTCACTGCAACCTCTGCCTCCCAGGTTCAAGCGATTCTCCTGCCCCAGCCTCCGAAGTAGCTGGGATTATAGGTGTGCACCACCACGCCCAGCTAATTTTTGTATTTTTAGTAGAGATGGGGGTTTCACTATGTTAGTCAGGCTGGTCTCGAACTCCTGACCTCTGGTGATCCGCCCGCCTGGACCTCCCAAAGTGCTGGGATTACAGGCGTGAGCCACCGCATCTGGCCCTAAACAGAGTGAATTCTAATGTACAACATGCATATGGAAGTAGTTTGGATACTCATGCCTGCAATTGACTTTGAAATGTGTCAAAAAATAAGATGGATTGATGGATGGATCTCTAGAGGGATGACTGAGTGACAGACATGCAACGAAACAAGTAAGTGAAATATAATGGAATCTAGGTGAGGTGTTCATTGTAAAATTCAACTTTGCTGTATTTTTAAAGATTTTCATAATATAATGCTAGGGGAAAAGACATTTTTGAGACAACTGAGTAAAGCTGAATAAAGACTGGTTATTGGATAACAGGGAATTTTTTGGGTCCATTTCTTATAAGAAATGGTATAAGAATAGTATCATGATTAAGTAGGAGAGTTCATTTTTAGGAGAAGTATTCTCAAATATTTAGAAGTATCAGGTTGACTGCAATTTGCTTTGGGGTGATTCTGCAAAAATTTTAAAGACAGATGGTTGAGTAGGTAGAAAAACAGAAAAAATTGTTAGCAATTGCTGAATCTAGGAGGTGATTTCAAAAGTGTTCACTGTCCTTTTCTTTCAAATTTTATGTTTGAAATATTTAATAATAAAAATCTCAGGCAAAAATAGAACTACCTGGGTCTGAAGTACTTTGGGGTCGCTCCTCCCATCAAGTTGGGTCCTAGGTGCTAGATGAACACAGGTTGAAGCTGGCTGGCCTGGTCCCATAATGTCAGGTAGTACAGAACAATAGTGACAGCCTTGTCATCCGGCAACAGTCTTCCCTAAAACCATTCCTAAAACGAAACAAAGCTACTTCAGACCAACAGCGTTGAACAAGGGAAAAGAACAGATAAAACACAGTGCCATGTGCATGTAGCAATATACTAGAAGTAGCCAATAGTAACCTCATACTGAGAGTGACTGCTTAATGACAGGTAAATGATAGTTTCTTCCATTTATAAAAGCAACCACACTTTGGAAGTTCCCAATTTCAAAAACAAAAAAAAATAGGGGAACACTTACTATTTTAATAATAATCTCTTGAGCCCTTTCCATTCCAAATTTCAAATCTCAAAGGTCTCCAGCAAGGCGTTATTCCCAAAACAGAGCTTTGCCATGGTAAACTAGCATGTTCCAGCAGGGTGGTTTTTGGACAAGCAGTCTACATTAACAAGTCTTAATACTAGTCAGAAAGCAGTATGCTTCACTCTGTCAGGTGGCCCGAAGGCATATAACTCTCAATGACTCTAAGTAAACCTGTAGCATCAGAATTCCTCGATTCAAGCCAGGATCTGCCATTTGGAGAGCTGAATGATTTCTCTCAATCTTCATTTCCCCCAATCTTTCCCCCACCCTATACATATGTACACAAGATAATAGATATGAAAGCACTCGGTAAGCTATCAAGGGCTACACCCTTATCATTGCCTTGCCCTATTCTGAAGGCCTCATTATAGACTTTACTATCCCTGCCACTCACGTACTGATCACGTATAGTATTGTCTCATACTGTTATTTACCTATTTCACATGTACATGTCTCATCTTCCCAGCCAGACAAGGCGACTTGAGGGGAAGGGCCTTGTCTTGCTCTTCTATTTCCCATTACAAAGTGCTCTGAGCATAGTACACAATTTAGCATTTGTTGAGTTAAGCTGATTTTCTGTGAACTGACTAGTTTTAAATCTCTGGGGAATTTGTTCTCTCAAAAAATCCTACAGTAAATCAATTGGGAAATTCAAGGTTTTTTTAAAAAAAACCCTAATTTAAGCTTTTGAATAAATCCAAAATTTGCAGACTAGATTTGCTTAAAGACAGATACTTCTTGGGAACATAAAGACAGCTGTCTAAGAGTCCTTATTTCTAAGGCTGTAGCACACATGAAAAAAGCAGATGGGAGGAGGCACATGAGCAAGGCAATCCCAACTGGCTTGACGTTGGCACAGGTGGGTGGCTGGAGTTGCAGAATGAAGGCTGCAGAAATGGGGCCCGGAGATCTGCCACTTTTAAATGGTCAGTACTTCCCTCCTGGCTGCTTCTAGGTGCCAAGGGCCAAATAGTCCATTCTCCACTAGAAAAAAACTAGGTGATCCCCACAGTTCCAGCATGCCTCAAGTGATGCTACACACACACATACACACACACGCACAAAGTCCAGGGACACCCACCCCTAAACTGTCCCCCTGTACAAAGTTCTGGGACTCTCCTTGCAATCTGGCCCTTTCCCACTGCTCCAGGAAACGTCCCAATTTGTCCCTCTACATACCCTGGGGCATCTCCACGAAAACCCTCTCTCCCCCATGCTGAGATGCCCTTACAGCCAGTGCCTTCATCCGCAACCCATGACAAACCTACCCCGAACCTGTTCCCTCCCACACAGCCCCAACTTCTTCCCTACACACACTACTGGAACGCCCCCCTCAATCTAGCCTCCCCCACATAACTCTCTCCCAAATTGCTCCCTCTCACTCTGACTGCAGACACTCCTCCAGCCAGCCTCCTCCCACTTGGCTGTAGGTGGTCTCTGAAATGGCCAAGGCCTATTTCCTCCCTTGAAACTGAGGGTACCCCCACAGCTGTTCTTGTCCCTGACATGCCTAGAGCATTCTCATAGGCTGTTTCTTCCCCCAAAGACCTTGGACAGCTCCATAACCTGGCCCCAGGCACACAGGTGTGAGATGTCCCCACAGCCTGGCTGCCCCCGGCCAGTCCCAAAATATTCCCACCTCCTGTCTCATCCTCTGAAGCCCCCACTCCCCCTGTGGACTGTCTCCTCAGCACGGTCAGACCTGAGACACCCACGTCCGCTTCTGCTCCTGAGGACCCAGTCACCCACACCGCAGCAGGCGCACGCCCTGCCATGGGAGCTCCTACAGCTGCAAGCACCCCCAGAGGCAGAGGCACCCTCCCGGCCTCGGGAATGGCTCCACCGTGTCTCCTTCTCCACAGGCCTGAGACACCTTCAGAGCCTGTCTCCCCCTCCACAGGTCCAGGAACCCTGGCAGCTGTGGGCCCCTCAGTGGCCAGTCTCCTTCCCCATATGCCTGAGCCGTCATCCCCAGAGCCCGTATCCCCTACCATTGGCCCTGGAAGCCCGGGAGCTGTGGGCACTCCCACGGCCATGGAACCTCTAGCAGCCACAGGCCTCCCAGCAGTCTGCCTTCTTCCAGACAGGCCAGAGACATGCTCAAAGATGGTCCCCTCCCCCACAGACCCCAGCAGCCCCACAGCCATGGACACTCCTGTAGTCTGTCTGCCTCCCAACAAACCTGAGACACCCCCAGAGCCAGTCTTCTCCGCCATGGGCCCAGGCATCCTGGTCGAGGTGGGCACCTCCATCCTTGTGGGACCCTTGGCATCTGCAGGTCCGCCCACTGTCTCTCTTTCACCCCACAATTCTGAGCCAGTTTCCTCTTGCACAGGCCTAGGCACCCTGGGAGCCACGGGCACCCCACTAGCTGCAGACAGCCCCACAGTGCCAGGCATTCCTGCAGTTTGCTGCCTCCCTGACAAGCCTGAAAAGCCTCCATCACCAGGCTCCAGCTCCACAGAACCAGGCACCCTAGGAGCCAGAAGGACTTCGGTGGCCACAGGAGCCCTGACCCTCTGTCTCTGTCCCCAGGGTCTTGGGATACCCCCAGAGTCAGTCTCCCCCCCAAGCCCAGGCCCCTCAGGCACCACAGGAACCCCAATAGTCTGTCTCCTCCCCCATGGGCCCGGGAAGGCCCCAGAACCACAATCCTCCCCGCCAGACCACAGCTTCTCCCGAGCCACGTGTCCCCCTGAAGCCACGGATTCCTCCCCGCCTGACCACAGCTCCTCCTGAGCCACGGGTCCCCCTGAAGCCACGGATTCCTCCCCGCCAGACCACAGCTCCTCCCGAGCCACGGGTCCCCCCGAAGCCACAGATATTCTGGCAGCCCGAGTCCTTTCCCACAGGTTCAAAATGTCTCTAGAGCTGCCTTCCTGACACACAGGACCAGACGCCCACACAGCAGCAGGCACTCTGGCAGGCACCTTTCCAGAGCCGGGCACACCCATTGCCATGAGGACCCCTGCTGCGGCACACCCCTGCCGGGGCACATCTGCTGCCCTGGGTATGCCCACCGTCTCAGACACCCCCACAGCCTGCCTCCTCCCACACTGACATGCAACATCTCCACAGCCAGCCTCCTGATCCACTGACCCAGGGACCCCTAAAGCTGGAGGCCCCAGACTCTCTGGCTCCCCCACAGCCTGCCTCCTTTCCCACGGGCTCAGAACATTCCCACTACAGGTCTCCTCTCCAAGCCCAGGCACTGCCTCGGCTGGGGGCCCCCCAAGAGCTTGCTGTCCGTCCCACAGGCCCAGGCCCCCGCTGTGGCTCAGCTCTTCTCCCAGGGCTCCAGGTACCACCACAGCCTGGGGCACCCTTACCATCTGTCCCGCTCCCCACAGCCCTGGGACACTCACACAGCCCGTGTCCTTCCCCAAGGCCCTGGGTACCCCTGTAGCCTGTTGTATCCCCCACAGGCCTGGGGCACCCCCAGAACCTGCTGCCTGCTCCCCAGGACATGATGACTCTGCAGTCTGCGCAGCTCCCCGTGACCCTGGATCACCCCCAGAGCCTGTCTCCACCCACACAGGCTGTCCCCTTTCCCTGAACCCTGGGTCACCTCCACATCTAGTTTCCTCTTCAGCAGCACAGGGCACCCCAACAGAGTATCCTGTGCCCCACGGGCCGGGCATACCCACAGAGTCTGTCTCCTCCACAGCCTGTCTCCTGTAACACACACCTGCGGCACCCACAGAAGTAGGCTCCTCCTCCACAGCATCGGACACCCCCACAGCCTGTCCCCTCCCCCATACGCCAGGGGTGGCCCCACAGACTGCTTCATGTGTCAGAGCCCCAGGAATCTGCGGGGACTGTCCTCTCCCCCACAGACCTGCAGCACCGCCACAGCCGAGCTCTCCCTCCATGGCTCTGGGCGCTCCCACAGCCCCAGTCCACCCCACGGTCCCAGGCTCGCCCATAGTCTGTTCTTTTTCACAAGGGCCTGAGACAAACCCATAGCCTATCTCCTCCCCAGTCTCAGGAACCCCCACAGCTTCTCCCCTCCACAGGTGCGGGGCCATTTCAGAACTTGACGCCAAAGCCCCAGGCACACTCGCAGGAGGCACCCTCCCAGCCTGTCCCTGTCCACAGAAGCCTAAGGCTCTCTCGTAAGCTGCCCCTAAGCCCAGAGCTGTGGGCCCTGAGGGGGCCCGAGGGATCCCCCTTGCCTGTTCCTTCACCCAGGGCCCTGTAAGACCGCCGCGGCTTGTCTCTACCCAGGAAGCTCGGCCAGGAACACCCCTTTCGACAGGTCCCTCTCCTGCAGGCACGGGATGGAGCTCGACTCTACTTCCTTCCCCACATCCCGAGGCGGCCCTCATAGCCTGCACCTTCAGCCACAGGTGCAGAATGCTCTCATGGCCCAGAGATCCCGGGCGACCTTTTCTCTCGCAGCCCCGGGGACTTCTATCTTCGGTCTCCTCCTCCCCAGACCCGGTCACCCACACAGCCCCGGCAAGCCCCACCACCTCGGGCTCCCCCACAGCCCCGTTCACCCACACAGCCCCAGGGTCCCTTGCAGCCTCGATGGAGCCTGGGGTCCCAGGAGCTCCCAAAGCCTCATTCGCCCCGGCGGCGTCGGCTGTCTCCGCCGCTTGTCTCGTCCCCCATGGCCGCTGACGGCCCTGTGGCCTTTCTGCACTCACACAGCGCGTCTCCCACTCCGAGGGCTTCGCCCGGCGCCTTGCTCCACGGCCTCGGGACGTCCCTGCGCCCCGTCTCTTCCCCCACGGCCGCCGAACCCCCCGCCCCGACCTGCTGGGCCCCACGCAGCGACCCGGCATCTTAGCCGCCTGCTCTCCCCGGCGCAGCCTGGGCAAGGCCCCACGGCGAGTCTCCCGGCTCATAGCTCCAGGGCAGTTCCCTTCCTCCCTACCGCGGCCCTGGGGGATGTCTTAGCACCTCGCTCCCTAAGCTGCTCCACACACGCACTCACACACTCCGCTCCGGCCTTGCAGCCTTTCTCCCTCCGAGCCCCTCACCCATCCCACCCCCGCCCAGTCTCGGGAACCCGCCCCCAGTCCCAGGCCCCCGTAAAGCCTAGACGGCAGAAAAGGTAACTGGGGGGACAAAGCAACAAAGGCTTTCCGAGTCAGATCTCCTCTCCCCCAAGTCCATGACTCTATGCGGCTTCCCAGAATCCCCCCCAGCCCCGGCCCGAGCCCACCTGGCCTAGGGTGAGGCGCGGCTACTGGGAGGCGGGCAACGGGGGCCCCCAACAAGGCCGCGCTTCCGGCCGCCTGCCCAGTCGCCATAGCAACAGGCGCAGGGCGGCTTGGGAGCCTTTGAGGCCCTGAACTATTTAAGGATCCAGGTGTTGCAAGGCGGTAAGTTTTGCAGCCAGTGTCCATGAGGTCGGGGCTGGGACTAGATTAGGGTAGATCTAAGCCTGGGCTTGGGAGTGCAGCTAGCGCAGAAAGATCTGAGGAACTAGAGCAAAAAGCCATGCGGATGGATTGTGGTCGTCAGAGGCTCCCGTAGTCTTTAGCGGCGCTGGCTTCCGCAGGCTCCGCCCTCTCTTGCCCACCCGGAAACAGCCTCGCCCCGCCTACGCGGGACCCAACCGCGGCGACCGGACGTGCACTCCTCCAGTAGCGGCTGCACGTCGTGCCAATGGCCCGCTATGAGGAGGTGAGCGTGTCCGGCTTCGAGGAGTTCCACCGGGCCGTGGAACAGCACAATGGCAAGACCATTTTCGCCTACTTTACGGGTTCTAAGGACGCCGGGGGGAAAAGCTGGTGCCCCGACTGCGTGCAGGGTGAGGCCGGGATTCGGGGGCTGCTGTCCAATGGAAATGGCAGGAAGGTCGAGCCTACGGCCAGAAGGGGGGCTTAGCGGAGGCAGAGTCTTGGTTCCAGACATCCGCGGAGCAATCTGAGCTGTCCCCAAGTCTCCTTCTATTAAATCCTACCCCGCCCTGCCAAGAGCGCTCTTCCTTTTACCACCTTACCCGGATGATCTTGGAATCTAGTTCCTTAAAACTTCTCACTCCCCCAGTACCATTAGTGTCTTACAGGATACGTGAGTTGGTCAGCAAATACATGTGCTTTCCATTGTTACGGGCGCGGTGGTGCAGGGGCAAATCGGGACTGGGATTTGGTCCTTACCCTTAACGTGGCTCTAAGACCAGAAGGGAACACCTGACTTGTGTTGACCTCTTCAGTTAGCTGCAGGTTAAAGTCTGAGTGCTTACCAAGACTGGGGGAAGGGGGAAAGAACACAGTTTATACGTGCCTGATTGTAGAGTTGACGTGCGATTATTTTATCTCAACTTTTTTTAAAGCTGAACCAGTCGTACGAGAGGGGCTGAAGCACATTAGTGAAGGATGTGTGTTCATCTACTGCCAAGTAGGAGAAAAGCCTTAGTAAGTGGCAATGTATAATCTACCTCGCAGACGTGCACAAATTGCATACTTAGGCGGGAAGGGCCTCAGGGACTTACTTACCCAGTTTGTCTTACAAGGTAATGTCTGACAAGTTAAACAATTAGAAGCTATTAAATACAAATTTAAAATGCCCACCTGAATTAAGTAAGGGTAATTCAACGAATTTGGTCTGGTGTAAGCCCAGAACTTAGCTGGCTTTACTTTTATATCTTAGTCACACTTTGAAACTTTGCACAGGGTAATTAGTAGATTAAGCCATAGTCCGCAAGGTTTTTTAAGTGTTTGCAAGAACAGTGATTACTAAAAAATTAAATGTAGGACTATGTCAAATATTAAGCAAACTGTAATAAACCAAGTAAATTTTTTTCATGATCACTTTTTCTTTTCGAATAGTTGGAAAGATCCAAATAATGACTTCAGAAAAAACTTGAAAGTAACAGCAGTGCCTACACTACTTAAGTATGGAACAGTAAGTATCTTTAAATATGCTGGGCCTGTAATTCACTGTCAGAACTCTTTTAACTTGCTGTGGATCCAGATTTGAAAAGATCTTGACATTTCATCTCAATTCCATTGTTGTTCAGAGTGCTGCTGAAAGTCCATTCCTATGGCCAATCCCAATAAACTGATAATGTAAATATCTAGCTATTAGGTCTTTTTCATGTTAAGTCACTCTTAAAAAACCAGAAAGTAGGTTGACTCATAATTCCTTAAAACATTTGCATCAACAGTTGTTTTCTGTTTAATTCATAATTCTGGTTAAAAAGTAAGGGCATCTCTTCTAGTTCAGTCATGCCCCTGGGATCCTAAATTAAAGAGTTGAGGGGAAGAAGAGGGCACTGGGCTTGCTGTCTCCTGTTTTAGTCTGTGGAGCTTCCTGGTATTTGGGGTTTAAGTCTCTTGAGCCAAGTATGTTAGTGATTCATCTTACAGCAAATATATTGATTCTTTCATAAAACTTGTTATAACTAGATGATAGTTTCTGAATTGCGTAATTTCTGTGTTCAAAGATGAGTGTCATTCAAGGCAGAACTCATTCCACTCCTAATAACGTTTTATAGAAGTAGTGAAGATTTGACTGTTTTTCTCTTACAGCCTCAAAAACTGGTAGAATCTGAGTGTCTTCAGGCCAACCTGGTGGAAATGTTGTTCTCTGAAGATTAAGATTTTAGGATGGCAATCATGTCTTGATGTCCTGATTTGTTCTAGTATCAATAAACTGTATACTTGCTTTGAATTCATGTTAGCAATAAATGATGTTAAAAAAACTGGCATGTGTCTAAACAATAGAGTGCTATTAAAATGCCCATGAACCTTTAGTTTGCCTGTAATACATGGATATTTTTAAGATATAAAGAAGTCTTCAGAAATAGCAGTAAAGGCTCAAAGGAACGTATTCTTGAAGGTGACGGAAATACCTAAAAACTCCTAAAGGTGCAGAGCACACCTTCCAAATCTCTCAAAAGATCAGTATCTTTTATTTTAAGTTATCTCCATCTGCAAAGCAACTGATGATATTCCTGAAACCCCTTCTTTGATTTTGGAATGTAGAACCTAACCTCACCACTGAAGGAAAGCACATGACCTCTAATCTAGCCTCTGCTTAATTCAGGCAGTTTTGTTTTGTTTAATAAAAAACAGACTCCTGAGCACTAGAAGCAGTTTGTTTTGCAGCTGTCTCAATGTGCTTTACTTGGGATGAGGCAGGTGGCGGAGAGCGGCCGGAAAGACTCTATAACCCAGTTCTGGGAAGAACTCCAAGCTGGGAGTCAGTCACACTGACTCTACCACTTACTAGCTGTGTAACCACAGGCAAGTTACTCACCCCGTCCAAACCTCAGTTTTCTCTTCTATAAACAAGGTTCTTAGAATAAAATGAGAATTCAAGGAAGCACTTAACATAGCACCTGGTTTGTGGTACCTCCCAAATCAATGGTAGCTTTCCCAAATGAACACAAGTATTTGAGGCTCCTCATGTTTGTTCTAAAGTCAAGAGTCCAGTTAGTAACTAACCACTAGTTGTCCTGCCATGACTAGGTCAAGTGAGGCCACAGTGATTCAGTGATTCTTAAAGCCACCTTGCAAAGCAGGTAATACAGTTATTTCCTGTCCTGCAGAATTCAAGAACCTTTATGCAGTTCCTGTCCTATGATTTAAAGAGGTCAGTGACTCCGCTACTCTCACTACATCTTAGAGTAGAGTGGTAGAGTAGTTGATCTGAGACAGTAAGGTTCCAGGAGATGGTCTTGCCCTACTATATGTCAGGAACAGCTAGCCTTAGAATTCAGTATACTTGGTGGCCCACCCCTACCCCATGCCCCAGTGCCTTATTTGGTCTAAAGCACCTAACTTTTCCATTCTTAATCAGCTGATTATGCTAAATGCGTAAAAAAGAAAAACACCTTACAAATCCACAGGGAAATCAAAGAACAATTCAGGTTTAACAGAAATAGTCTATTAACAATAAAAAGTTGGATGAAAAAGCACACTAAAGGTTCTAGGGGCTACCATAATAAAGGTAGATAGGAAGAGTTTTCATTTTTTTTGTCTTCACTGTACAAAAGAAATACATTATATACATGTATTAAGTGCCTCGTTTGTATCCAGTTTTTCATTTTCCCGATGTGTTATTTTGCTGTTGCTGCTCTGCCAAGGCTTGCTGAAGGCGCATCCGCTTCCGGGAATAGTGCTGCCAATGTAGAATCTGCTGTTCATCAATAAATTTCGCACACTGAGCATTCACCAGCTCCTTTCGGAAGTGTTCATATTGGAGCAGCTCTAACATGTGTAAACACTGAGGGTACCTGGGTTTAAGTTTGTAAGTGAATGAACAACATAATTTAGGTAAATAATGCCAAGGTATAATTCAGTTATTCTCTTAAAAACGATCTTGTAGCCTACCATTTCTATAACAGTAACTTAGTACACTCTGGTAGCATAGGGTTTTTTCCCCGATTAGTCATCAAAGGTCAGTGTTCAATATTTTCGAAAATGAGAAGGTTTAAGTTCAGAAAGATTAAATTAACTTGCTCAAGACCACACAACACAGTAACTGGTAAGCAGAGTGAAAATTTAGGGACAAACCATGCTATTCCCTTCTAGCGGTTTCCAACGTGAAGAACATGAACATATTTTAGTAATTATGTGTTTAATTGATAGTTACTCATTTTTCCTTCAATAGGGATAAAAAGACAACTTTCATTTAAAAGTGAGTGTGAAAGAGGACTATGCGCATACATTGTACTCTTGTTGTCCACAGGGATATACCAATTCTGAAATTAGATATACTCTAGGATTGGACAAGCAAATATACTGTGGATAAGGACAGCCAAATTTCTGGCTATCAGAAAAGGAGTTATAGACATGGAAAGGAAAAAGGCTAGAATGAACCCTGTGTTACTGAGCTGGTATTGAAAACATCAGTATGTACTTACGGCTTTTAATATAGACATAGAATAAACATGTATATGTGTGTGCATGTATACACATACATACATATATATATAGTTCTTGAGCTTTGTGTACTGACAGGGCCTAGAAGCAATGACACTGTGGTACTAATGAACACACAATGACCAGACTGTGGTTTCCAAGGAGCAGGTTTCCTTGGAGAAAAGGGTGATTCAGGGATAAGACAGGAAAAGTACAAGATGAGCCTGGAACATTACGTAGTGCCAGAAGAAAAAGTGCTAAAAATTCCTGGGAGGATCAAAAGTATTCAGGAGCCAACTTGAAGGGCCTCCCAATGGCCAAATCTGGAATACTTAGCGCAAGAAAATACATAATTCTAATTCATAATTCTACTAAAAATAAGAATCCAAAAGTCCACACTAAATGGATGTAAATTTCTTTAATAAAATAATAGGAAACAAGGGAATATAATTCCTTACAATCGAATTCCAAACTAATAAATGCAGAATGATAGAATTAGAAAATCATCACAGTAAAAAATGTTTCAGGCAATTATCTTCAAAAGATGCTAAAACAGGCAAAATACATGTAATATGATATTTACATAGTCTCAAAGGATTTCCCTATAAGATACTTATTAAATACACAAGGAAAAATAGCAACTTAATATGGAGAAACCTAGACGGTACCACCCTCAACCAAGTTACCAAAATTTACGTCACCAGTAGTGGGACAAATAGACTTCATGTGACTGCAGATATATGAAGGATACAAATCATTTCTGTCATAGTCATGGAAAAGAAAAGACCACTGAGATGAAAGGAGACTAAGAAGACATGACAGCAAAATGCAACATACGGGCCTAGACTGGATCCTGCACTACATACAGCACACCAGCAGAACAACTGGCAAAATGTGAATGAGGTCTGTAGATTAGGTAATAATATTAATGTGCTGATTTTTGCTGATTGTAGTGTTACACATTTGGAATACGTGGGTGAACAAAATACAGGAATTATCTTTACTATTTTTCCAGCTATTTTGTAAGTGAAATTATTTCAAGTTGAAAAGACATAAAAGCTAACAGACAATTAAAATACATTAACATATAGGAAGTGTGGGGAAAAGAGATCAGATTGTTCCTGTGTCTACGTAGAAAAGGAAGACATAAGAAACTCCATTTTGATCTGTACTAAGAAAAATTGTTCTGCTTTGAGATGCTGTTAATCTGTAAATTTAGCCCCAACTCTGTGCCCCCAGAAACATGTGCTATATTGAATCAAGGTTTAATGGATTTAGGGCTGTGCAGGATGTGCCTTGTTAACAATATGTTTGCAGGCAGTATGCTTGGTAAAAGCCATCGCCATTCTCCATTCTCGATTAACCAGAGACACAATGCACTGCGGAAGGCCGCAGGGACCCCTGCCCAGAAAAGCCTGGGTATTGTCCAGGTTTCCCCCAACTGAGACAGCCTGAGATATGGCCTCGTGGGAAAGGAAAGACCTTACATCCCCCAGCCCGACACCTGTAAAGGGTCTGTGCTGAGGAGGAGTAGTGAAAGAGGGAGGCCTCTTTGCAGTTGAGATAAGATGAAGGCTTCTGTCTCCTGCTCGTCCCTGGGAATGGAATGTCTTAGTGTAAAGTCGACCATTCCCATTCGTTCTATTCTGAGATAGGAGAAAACCGCCCTGTGGCTGGAGGCGAGATATGCTGGCAGCAATACTGCTTTGTTGCTCTCTGCTAGTTAGATATTTGTGTAAAGTGAAACATAAATCTAGCCTATGTGCACATCCAGGCACAGTACCTTTCCTTGAACTTATTCATGATACAGATTCCTTTGCTCACGTTTCCCTGCTGACCTTCTCGCCACCTGTTGCCCTGCTACACTCGCCTCGCCAAGACAGTAAAAATAATGATCAATAAATACTGAAGGAACTCAGAGACCGGCACTGGTGCGGGTCCTCGCATGCTGAGTGTGCCGGTCCCCTGGGCCCACTGTTCTTTCTCTATACTTTGTGTCTTATTTCTTTTCTCATTCTTTCATCTCCACCTGACGAGAAATACCCACAGGTGTGGAGGGGCAGGCCCCCTTCAGGAAGTATGCAGATAAAGCCAAAGTTGCACAAGTGATATGCAAATGACTAAAGTGTGGAAAATAGGATACTACAGCAATGCTTCTAAAACTTTAATGTGTATATGGGTCACTTCTTAAAATGCAGATTGAATCCTTAGGCCTGGAGTGGGGCCTGAGCTCTGCATTTCTAAAAAGCTCCCAAATGAAACCAATGCTACTGATGTGAACACCACATTGAATAGAGGGCTTAATACCATGCTTCTAAGATAGTAACTTCCAAGACAGCAAAGATTTGCTATCCACACACTAAAAATACACAGTTGCTCTAATTGTTGGCTGCTTATGCTAGAATGCTCTATTCACACCTGCCCTGGCTAACTCCCTTTCATGACAGCATTAGTAGTTAAAATGACCAGGATGTTATGTTCCAGCCAGGTGGCCTTTAACAAGGTACTTAACCTCTCTAAGGTTCAGTTTCTTCAACTGTAAAATAATGTGACAACCAAGAGAATGGTCTCAAGTAGCATTTAGTCAATAACTAGAATTTAGACATGCAGTGATTATATCAGAATACCTTAGATGACAATAAAGAATCATACTCTGATAGGCTACAAGTCAACAAGATGAAATAGAAGCAGTATAAAAGGGAAGTTCTGCATTTGGTGTTTTTAAAAAGAAACAACATAGGGAGAACCCAACAGCATGATGAAAATAAGAACTGAAGGATTTTAGTTGACATAATGCTTCCAGCAAGTCAACAATGTGATCCTCTTCCCCACTCCCACCCCCAAAAGTAATATAAACTTAAGTTGAATTAACAGAGGTGTATGACCACATGAAGAAAAGAAAGGACCTCTGGCCCACTGTACTCTGACCACACCTGAAGGCCTGTGTTTAGTTCTTGGCTGAACTGCATAAAGTACAACTGCCAAATATCCAAAGGAGGGAACCTCAACTCATGAGAACTCTGGACACCATGGCACAATGGCAGAGGGTAGTTGAGAAAAATAGATGGAAGAGAGATGTTATAGTGGCACCTACTGGCTATCAATGAAGCAGGCCAAGTGGTAGAAAGTGTCTCTTCCACCAGGTGGAAAGCAGCTAGTAGTGACAGCTGCTCTCAGCTTCAGCCCAGTTGTTGACTTGGGAGAATTAAGATCTATGGTTACTAGATCTTCCAGATTTGAAAGAGTAGCTGGAAATCTGCATTTGTTATATACAACTTTCTGATCTTTAAATGTTGGCAAGTATTAAAAAAACTAAAATCTTCTGCAGACTGAATAAAACACCCAAAAGGGGCTAATTTGCAGTCTCTCTTGAATGTAAATATCTGGAAGGCTGTTGTCCTCAAGAGGGTATAGAATGGTTCTAGCTTCATCCAGGGACAAACAGACTGGGGCTACAAGGAGGTACATTATATCACAATATAAGGAAGAACTTTCTAATATCTGGCTAACAATCGAATCAGCTGTCCCTGACAGAGTAACACGGGCTCAATGGAAACCTCCAGAGTGTAGATGACCATCTCTCGGCAACGTTGTGGGTAAGATTAAACTTGTTGGTGGCTAAGGCTTCCAACACTGAGTCTGTAAATCTACATACATACAATATTCGTTGAAGTCTACTTTTCTTAAAAGTCTGTTCTTTGGATTATTAAATGGATAAAAAGCCAGAAAAGGTGCAAACGGTCCTGCAGGCAACATAAGACGTATGTGCTTCGTGAGTCAATTGTTATTGGACACAGAAAAGTGACTTTGAGAGAAGTTTGAAACATTTTCCTCTCAAACTTTTTTTTTTTTTTAAAGGTTCATTATTGCTTTCTACCTGCTTAAGACAAAGCAGGGGTGTGAGTTCAAGGTGGGTTGGTTTTTTTTGTTTTTTTTGTTTTTTTTTTTTAACCATTAAAAGGGAATTGCTTTGTGGTTATAATATGTTTCTTGCAACTTAGTAAGCCTTAACATGAAAGTGTCTGCTGAACGACCTGAATGGTAAATATATATATATAAATGAGTTAATGCATATGAAGCATTTAGCACTGTTCCTGGCAAATAAGAGGCCTTAAATAAAAGACAGCAACTCTAAGACTCAGGTAAGATCACCTCCTTCAAATAACCCCAGAAACACCTTCCTTACAGATACCCTCTTTTAATTTCAGCCCATGGCTTATGCTACTACATTTACAGATTGTGAGTTCTTAGGGACCAGAAACCTGGTGAGATGGGAAGGGTGGTAAAAGACAAGGTCAGAAAAGGCAGGGCCAGATCGTATAAGGCTTTAGTCCAAGAAAAAAGACTGGATTTTATTCTGCATGGAATGGAAAGCCATTGAAAGGTTCTAAGCAAGAAAGTAAAGTGTTCTGATTTATATTTTTAAAAGATTAAGCTGGTTTCTGTGTAGAAAGCTGTTTTGCTTGGTTTGGGTTGGGGTGGAGATGGGGGCAGGAAGGTAAAAGTGGAAGCACAGATAACCAGGGAGTAGATTACTGCAGTGTTACAAGTTAGAGATGAGGGTGTCTTGTATTAAGACGGTGATAACAAAAAGAAGTGGAGAGATTCCAAATACATTTTTGCCAATGTGAAACTAAGAAATCTATTATATAATAAAGTATACACATGCTTAGGATTATAAAAATTAAACTTACTTTAGATACTTGGCATATTCTGGGTCTTTCCAGTAAAGCAAGTATTTAAGATAATTAACAAAAGCTTTGTCTTTGAAGTAACCTCTTTGGGCAAGAACTGAAAAGCATTAAAAAAAAAAATCTGTAGGTCAAACCAATCCTTAAACTGTGATTTGTTACCCCTAATATAAAGGATCTATTTACATAACACCCCCACCACCAACACACATTGGATTCAAAACACAAGTCCCAGTACGCAATTATATCTATATACCAGCATAAGTGTAATGTCATTCAACTGAGAATGTGTAAAAGTAGATACTATTTTGAACTGCAACTCTTCTGTCAGAAATCATTAATAGCTACTCAATTTAATGAGGTGCTTAACAACTTACAATTAAGGTAATTTGGGTTGGCTAAACATTGCACAAATTCCAACTCCAACTGAAACCGAAGTCGATTTCCAGCATCATCTAGGAGACAAGACAGCAAAAATCATGGAAAACAAAGGTCACTGTATATAATACTGATTTGTAGTAAGGAAAGAGCAATAAAGAAACCTGACTAATGTTGAGATGGTCTTCCTAAACTAGGAGTGGGAGGAGATAAACCTTCCTTCGAAATCTAAGAAAAGCGGAGCCCTGATTAAAAGGAGTAAGTTAGAAGTTTCTCTAAAGTTAAAGAGAAATCATCAAAGAAAACAGCAACACAAACGGAGAATTCCTACCACTCGTGGGCCACTATGTAGGAATTTTAACAGTGATCACTAAGGTAGGCTGTAATAACTGTGGCTTCCCCTATTTTAATAATGCGTTGTAACAACTGTTAACAGTGATTAAGTTTCGCAAACGCTAGGGGCTGAATCAGTAAAGAAAAACTTAGGATGCAAGAGACTGCGGAGAGCCTAAAAGATCATGCAGCGCATGCATATAAGAAGCACCAGGGTCAGGAGATCGAGACCATCCTGGCTAACACAGTGAAACCCCGTCTCTACTAAAAATACAAAAAAAATTAGCCGGGAGCGGTGGCGGGCTCCTGTAGTCCCAGCTACTTGAGAGGCTGAGGCAGGAGAATGGCGTGAACCCAGGAGGCGGAGCTTGCAGTGAGCCGAGATCGCGCCACTGCACCCCAGCCTGGGCGACAGAGCCAGACGCTGTCTCAAAAAAAAAAAAAAAAAGAAGCACCAGTAGCAGAATGATACACAAGTCTGGCGACGATATTTCAAACTTAGGCAAGCTCATGTGAGAAGCAGAAAACCAATCAAGGAGGACACGGTTTAACACACAAGTCCTCTCCCTTAGTCTCACCCACGCCAGGGAGCTGGTGGGGTGGTGTCTGAATAGCAAAGATGTGCGAACAAACCAAATCAGGAAAACTGCAAAGAGTACCTTAGTCTTTCTAGACGCTACAAGAGCCTTCTCTCCTCTCTGTCCAAATATTAACCCTGCCAAGAGTAAGGCCTGGAAGGAGGCCACGGGGAAGAGGTCTGGGTCAAGGAGAGTTCCATCTGCGAAGACTCCAAGATCAGAGAGCTACTCACCTGTCTCCATAGCGACAGCAGCGGCCATAACAAACGAAGACACCAAAACGCCACCAGCCTGACAGAGCAAAAGCCCAGAGACGCGGGCGAAGTTCCGGAAACCACGGCTCCCTCTTCCGGTCCCGGGGCACTGTGGGATATGGGGCGGGGCGGCTCCGCCCATCCCCGACCAGCCCTGGGATGGCTCCACCCGCGCTGGCTCCAAAATAGCGAGGGGGCGGGGCCCGGGCCGTGGGAGCGCCTGAGGGGCAGGAGTCCAGTGTTTTAGCCTTCGAAGGACCATGGTGCTTCCACGTCATCGTGTTGTGGCGCTCCCGGCTATGGCAGTACCGTAGTTTTCCTCTCTTCTGCCTGCGGTGACCATTGGGCTGTAGGGTGCCCCGAGGCCTCCCTGGCCCCCTCACGCCGGCAGAATGGCCTCAGCCCGAGGGGCCAAGCAGTCTTCGCCCCGGGTGGGGACCACCCGCTACACAGAGACGTCCACGGTCCGCGTGGAGACCTCGTCCCACCGCGTGGAGACGTCGTCCCGGCGGGTGGAGACCTCCCAGCGCCGCAGCGAGGGGCCCTCCCTCTCCCCCTCGGGGAAGCGGCTCCCTCGCATCCTCGAGGCGTCCTCCCGGCACGTGGAATCCTCCTCGCAGCGCACGGAAACGACCTCCCGCCACGTCAGAGCCTCGTCCCTGAGGGTGGAGACGTCTCTGCACTGCGCGGAGAGCCCGACCCCGCGGGCCAAGCCGGCCGCCCGCCAGAACGAAAAAACGGCCCGATGAGATGCTGCTTCCCAAAGGCCACCAAGGGGCCAGGGCCCTCAGCCAGGACAGAAAGGCCTCCAGTTGCCAGCCAGCCAGCCAGCTGCCAGGTGGACCAATCATTTTCGGTTTCATGGAAACAAACCATAAATCAATGTAAGAAACAGCCAAGCCGCAGTTTCTGAACACAGCCAACGTTTACTGACCGTCCTGCGTCTTGGACCAGCCTACTTTTGACCCAGTGAACTATTTTCACTTGAAGCCAGCACAGAAGGTTTTCAGGCCCAGGATGCTGTCTAAATCGGGTTGATGGACAAAGAGAGGCTGTTTGAGCCTCTGAGCCAGGTGAGTTTGGGATCCACAGCCCTCAGAAAACCTTCACCCCTTAGGAACAGAGACCAAACTGAAATAATGACCTGTGGAATGATTCCATGCCTGCTAAAAACTCGAGGGACAAGGAACAGACTCATAAATTATTAATTGGCCTTTGTTTATGTTTCAAAGTAAATGGTCGTTTTCTTTATGCTAAGTCTTTGTACCTGGCACCCCCATCCATACACTTTTTTAAGGTAGGTTAGATGTGGTTAAAAATGACAGTAAACCCACCAGCAAGCAAAAATAATCTTAGAAAGTGAGAGGAGGTCACTGAAACCTGGCCTGAGGTTTGAAGAAGATGGAGAAGAGTTATATTTATTGAGAACCGGCTCTGTGCCAGGCACTAGATGTTCCTCCACTTACGATGGGGTTACCTCCCGTTGAAACTATTGTAAGTTGAAAATATGGTAATTTGAAAATGCACTTAATACCCCTAACCTACTAAACATCATGGCTTAGCCTAGCCTACCTTAAACATGCTCAGAACACCTAAAGTTGAGCAAAATCATCTAACAGAAAGCCTGTTTTATAATAAAATGTTGAATATCTCATGTAATTTATTGCATACTGTACTAAAAGTGAAAAAGAATGGTTGTAAGAGTACTTAAAGTACTATTTCTACTGAATGTCACTTTTGTACCATTGTAAAGTCGAAAAATCATAAGTCAAACCATCTTAAGTTGGGAACTGTCTGTATTCTGGGAACTTGGGCTATAGCAGTAAAAAAGGCAAAGTCCCAGCTCTAGTGGAGCTTACACTCTGGTGAAAAGGCAGACAAGCAATGATGAAACAAGACAATTTTCTATTGTGATTAGCACTATGAAGGAAATACATGGGTAATGTGATAGAGAATGGAAGTAAGTGGCTTCTTTTGATAAAATGGTCAGGGAAGGCCTTGCTGATTAGTTAACATGTAATCTGAGATATGTGTGAATGAACAGTGATCTGGAACAGGTGCATTCTAGGCAGAAGAACAGCAAATACAAAGGGTGGATGGGAACCAGCTTTGAATGTTCAAGGAACAGAAAGAAGGCCAGTGTGGCTGGAGTGAGAGAGAAGCAATTATATAGACATGGAAGCAGAACGGAAGAGAGGAGTTAAAAGCAAGCAGGGGCCAGTCCACAGAAGGTCTTCTAAGCCACAGTAAGGAATTTGAGATTATTCTAAGGTCAACAGGAAAACATTGAAGGGTTTCCAACAGGGGAACGACATGATGCCATTTACATTTAAAAAATATCCTTTTGGCTTCTGTGTGTAGAATGTGGGACAGTGGTTCTCAACTAAGTGTGATTTTGTCCCCCAGAGGATATATGGCAACCTCTAGAGACATTTTAGTTTGGTTGAAAAGTTGTTGGGAGGGGGTGGGTGGCACATTAGGTGCTACTGGCACCTAGCGGGTAGAGTCCGGGGATGCCACCTGACATCCTACAGTGCACAGGTCAACACCCTCCCCTCTGCCAACGATGAAGAATCACTGGTCCCAAAATGTCAATAGTGCCAAGGCTGAGAAACACTGACAGTTCTAGCAGCTTGGAAAGCTAGAGCATGGTCTACTGGGACAGCGCACCACTTTAAGGAACAGTCATGGAAGAGGGTTACCTTTAAAAGTAAAGAGAAATCATCAAAGAAAACAGCAACACAAATGAGACACAATACCTACCACTCATGGGCCACTATGTAGGAATTTTAACAGTGATCTCTAAGGTAGGCTGTAATAACTGTGGCTTCCCCTATTTTAATAATGCATTGTAACAATTGTTAACAGTGATTAAGTTTCGCAAAAGCACGTGCTGAATCAGTTAAGAAAAACTTAGGATGCAAGCTGAACAAGAGACTCCAGAGAGCCTAAAAGATGATGGAACATATGCATATATAAGAATCACAAGTAACACAATGATACACAGGTCTGGCGACGATATTTCAAACGTATGCAAGCTCATGTGAGAAGCAGAAAACCAATCAAGGACACGCTTTAAGACACAAGGAGGACACGCTTTAAGACACAAGTCCTCTCCCTTAGTCTCGCCCACGCTGGGAAGCTGGTGGGGTCGTGTTTGAATAGCAAAGGTGTGCGAACAAACCAAATTAGGAAAACTGCAGAGTACCTTAGCCTTTCTAGACGCTGCAAGAGCCTTCTCTCCTCCCTGTCCAAATACTAATCCTGCCGGGAGTGAGGCCTGGAAGGAGGCCCAGGGGAAGCGGGAGAAGAGGTCTGGGCCAAGGAGAGTTCTATCTGCGAAGACTCCAGGCTCAGAGCGCTACTCACCTGTCTCCAGGGCGACGGCAGCGGCCATAACAGGCAAAGACAGCGAATCGCCACCTGCCTAACAGAGGAAAAGCCCGGAGGGGCGGGAGGAGTTCCGGAAACCACGGCTCCCTCTTGCGGTCCCGGGGCACCGAGGAATATGGGGACGGTGGCTCCGCTCATCCCCGGCCAGGCCCGCTTAGCCCGCGCTGGCTCCGGAATGGCGAGGGGGCGGTGCCGGGCTGTGGGAGCGCCTGAGGGGCAGGAGTCCAGGGAGGCAGACTTTTACCCTCAAAAGGAATGAGTCCCAGAGCCTGGCACAAGGAAGACAAGTGTGCAAAGTTGGTGGAATGAATTCGGTGGCCTAAATGTACCTTCCTCAAATGCCACGGCTGACTGGGTCTCCTCGCCCACTTCACCCTCTCTTGCAATCCAACTTGTGAGGCGTGTGTGTGTGTGTGCATGTCCGCGCTTGCCTTTAGATGGAGGTTGGCTTCCCAGCCATCCAGGCTTGCATACACGTGCATAACTCCTACCCCTACCTCGCCTGCCTGCTGTACCAGGGGTTGATTCCTTCTTCCTGCGTGTTTTCTGTCCAAATCCTTTTCTGATTTGGACAGAAAACACGCAGGTGGCACACAGTAAGCGCTTAATAAATTTTCCGGCTACCTGATCTTCTTGGAATTGAGGGCATGCTCCTGTGCGCCCCTCATTGCACAGAGCTCCCTTGTCTGGAAACTCAGCAGTCACCGGAGCCGCCGTCGGTCCTCTCGCTTTCTCTATTTTAAAAAACGTTTCAACCGCTAGCGCTGTTGGATCTCTACCTTTCAGGCTTTATCACCTGGGGTGGAGTGGGTGGTGAGAGGGAAGGGATGGGGAGTCAAGACAGGAGAACGCTCTCGATTTCCCGACCCACCTCCCGTCATATCTCATGTCATATCTACCGGGTGTTCTACCCGGTCCTGTTACTTTTTTTCTTCCGCGAAAGCCCAAATTCCCATCACTGCTCTAGCTCTCTCCCAGATCGCCAAATCCGGATGTCTGTCTCAGGGAACGTCAAAGCAACATGCCCGGATGAGGTCCTCCCCTCTCCCCACCTCCCAGCCCTCTCCTCCTGCCTCCCCCGGTGTCACCCGCGCCTCCTTCCTCTCTTCACCTCCCTCTAAACAAGAATCCGGCGCAGTCAGTTCTAGACCCTGAGCATCTCCCGCGTCCCTGCCCAATATCCGTCCCGCCCCCGATCGCCCGCGTCCTCTTGAACCTGCGGAGCCCTGCTCCCCGCACTCCACGCCCTTGCTCCGAGCTTCCGAGAAAGCGGGGCAAAGGGAGCCAGAAAGAGAGAAAATGCGCACGGAGCAGGTGGCCCCGCGACTCCATGGTGAGGGGACGGGGCACGGAAGGTGGAAAGGCGCGCTCCCTCCTCCCTTTTTTCCTCCCTATGGTGGGCAGTTGGTGACACACAGTAAACGCTCAATAAATGTTTCCGCTACTCGATCTCCTTGGAATTAAGGGGATGCTCCTGAGCGCCCCTCATTCCACACAGCTCTGGTGCCTGGAAACTGCGGTCGCCGGAGCGGTCGTCGGTCCTCCCGGTTTCTCTATTTTAAAAGCCATTTCAAACCTCCAGCGGCCTCGCCACCTCTGCTGCAGACCTTCCAAGCCCTTCTGAAGCCGGAATGATTTCTCCCTAATTCACTCCCCCTGCTTAACACATTCGAACGGCTCCCGCTTGTTCTCGGGACCAAATCCAAAGCCCCTGGCGCCACCTTCGAGAGCCTCCGGACCTGCTGACCCCCCACACCTGGGCTCTGAGCTCCAGATCCAAGATGCTGCTCGCCCTCCCTTCCCCGCCGCTCTCTTTCTGCGCGCCTTTCCCCTGCCTTCCCTTTCTGTCACTCTCCCTGGCTGAGCCCTCTCCGCCTCCAGGTCTCCGGGAAGGTTGTCCCCAGGCCGGTGGGGCCCCTGCAGGTCCTCAGCCTCGGGCGGGGTGGGGTGGAGGGGTCGCACAGCGGGAATTGCCACCAGCGCGTCCGGGCTCCACAGCGCGCTCGTCCAGGGCGCGGCAGCGCTCAGCCCAGCGCTTGGCACAGTCAGTGACCACAGGGAGGAGAAAGTGAAGGCAGGAGCGCACCTTCCCACCTGCCGTCCCCGTCCCCTCAGAACCGAGTCCTGGGGCCACCTGCTCGGCGCGGTCCCTCTCTCTCTGGCTCAGTCCCCCCACCCCGATACGTCTCCTCCTCTCAGAGGCTCCGAGGAAGGGCGTGGGCGCTGGAGGGAGCAGGGCTCAGCCGGGTGCCCCTCCCGCCAGGCCCCACCGGGGCTGAGCCTCTTCTGTCGCCCGCAGGAGACAGAACTCAAGGTGGAAGTACCGGAGTACCTGGGGCCGCTGATGTTTGTGAAACTGCGCAAACGTCACTTCCTTCAGGTTCTGCAGCTGGATCTCCGTGTAGGGCCCCGGAGCCGGGGACGAGGTCAGGTTCCCTTGTTACCGCTGGGTGGAGGTCGACGGCGTCCTGAGCCTGCCTGAAGGCACCAGTAAGCGCGGGGCTGGGGGTGTCAGGAGGCCTCTGGGGTGCGAGAGAAGCTGGGGGGATGCGCGTGTGGAGAAGAGGGCGCAGGATGGGGGTGCTGGAACCTGGAGCGCAGGGCTCTTTGGGAGTGTCGAAGGGGCTGTGGCTGCAGCTGGCACAAAGTGGCTGGAGCCTGGGGGAGGGGCGTGATGCTGAAGAGGCAGGGGTCACACAGAAGGACGGAGTGATGAGGCTCTCCTGGCAGGGGCGAGAAGAGGCGCTCACCAAAAGTCACTGGCCAAGCCCTCCTCTGGCCTTCTAGGCCGTACTGTGGGCGACGACCCTCGAGGCCTGTTCCAGAAACACCAGGAAGAGGAGCTGGAAGAGAGAAGGAAGTTGTACCGGTGAGCCCTCCTCCCCTGACCCCACGTGAGCTGCTGATGCTTCCAGCACCCACGCCTGATTTCCTTCCTGCCCTACAGGTGGGGAAACTTGAAGGATGGGTTAATTCTGAATGTGGCTGGGGCAAAACTATGTGACCTCCCTGTGGATGAGCAATTTCTGGAAGACAAGAGTGTTGACTTTAAGGTTTCGCTGGCCAAAGGGTGAGAGCAAGGGGAGGCTGGGTGAGAGGGAGGTGTCCTGGTCTAGTGGAAGCCAAGGGGCTTATGGGCTGCACTGCACTGCACTGGACCGGCTCAAGGTCGGTGCCTGTGGCTGTCATGTTGGAGTCTCAGAATGATGCTCAAACCCTTTGCCCCATTCTGTCCTGAAGGCTGGCCGACCTCACTATCAAAAACTAAATGTTCTGACGCTGGGCATGGTGGCTCACGCCTATAATCCCAGCACTTTGGGAGACTGAGGCGGGCAGATCACGAGGTCAAGAGATCGAGACCATCCTGGCCAATATGGTGAAACCCTGTCTCTACTAAAAATACAAAAATTAGCTGGGCGTGGTGGCACGCGCCTGTAGTCCCAGTTACTTGGGTGGCTAAGGCACAAGAATTGCTTGAACCCAGGAGGTGGAGGTTGCAATGAGCCAAGATTGCACCACTGCACTCCAGCCTGGTGACAGAGTGAGACTCCATCTCAAAAATAAAATAATGTTCCGACTTGCTAGAATGATCTGAATGACTTCAACCAGATTTTCTGCTGTGGCCAGAGCAAGCTGGCTGGTCAGTCCCCCACCCCAATATGTCTCCCAGGACGCTTACCCCCAGATCCCACCCAACCCAGGGGAATTGAAAGAAGCAGGGTGGGGAGACCAGAGACTTGGGTCCCTCTGGTGGGCTGGAGTCAAGGGGGCATGGTTGGTGGGGTTGGAAGGACCAAGAGCTCAGATCCCACAACTTGCTCAACAACTGCCTTCCCCAGAGCGCGTGCGGGACTCCTGGAAGGAAGATGCCTTATTTGGGTACCAGTTTCTTAATGGCGCCAACCCCGTGGTGCTGAGGCGCTCTGCTCACCTTCCTGCTCGCCTAGTGTTCCCTCCAGGCATGGAGGAACTGCAGGCCCAGCTGGAGAAGGAGCTGGAGGTATGGACATCAGAGCCCTGAGGAAGCTCAGCAGTGAAGTGGGGTGGCCTAGTGCCAATGATGCTGCTGCGGGACCCACTGTGGGCCTGGCTTGCTGCCAGCCAGCAAGGACGGATTCTGCAGGAGAGGTCCTGAGGGACCCTGGAGAAGCTCAGCTGCTCGGCCTCCTTCCCACACGAGAGTAGCTGTGGAGGGAGGGCGTGCAAGATGGAATGGTTGATAGAAACAGGGTCAAATGAAGAAATGTGACTGGCCCCTGGTGCTAGGGATTCGGGGAGTGTGCAGAGTAAGAGAGTCAGGATCAGAGTGCTGTGGCTGTTCATCAGGAGGCGATATGGAACAACAGAGAGGAAATTCATGGGATTAAGGGCAGATAGGCTTGGATGTGAATCCTGGTTCTGCTATTTGTAAGCTGTGTGACCTCAGGCAAAATACCCAGCCTCTCTGATTATCTGTTTCCTCTTCTGTGCAACTGAGGCTCGTTCAACTAGGTATAAAAATTATAAGGCTGGGCACAGTGGCTTGCACCTGTAATTCCAGCACTTTGGGAGGTCGAGGCAGGAGGATCACCTGAGCCCAATAGTTGGAGACCAGCCTAGGCAACGTGGTGAAACCCTGCCTCTACAAAAATACAAAAATTAGCACCTGTAACTTTTGGTGTAGTGGCATGCACCTGTAGTCCCAGCTATTTGGGAGGCTGAGGTGGGAGGATCACCTGGGCCCAAGGAAGTCAAGGCTGCAGTGAGCCATGGTGGTCCCGCCATGGCACTCCAGCCTGGGCAACAGAGTAATACCCTGGCTCAAAAAATAAACAATGATATGAGGCAATAAGCACATGATCCATTACCTGGTACAAAGTAGGTGATGGAGACAAGTTAGCTTCTCTCTCTCTCTCTCTCTCTCTCTCTCTCTCTCTCTCCTCTCTCTCTCTCTCTTCCCCCTTGGAGGAATCCGAGTGGGAAGAAGATGCTTTATGTTGATAGCAGCCTTTGACCTCTTCCTGCACCCAGGGAGGCACATTGTTCGAAGCTGACTTCTCCCTGCTGGATGGGATCAAGGCCAACGTCAGTCTCTGTAGCCAGCAGCACCTGGCTGCCCCTCTGGTCATGCTGAAACTGCAGCCTGATGGGAAACTCTTGCCCATGGTCATCCAGGTGAGAGGACTCAGGATTTCTGCTCCCAGTCTCCAGCCTTCTCAGCTCAGCCCCTTATCGAAATGCACTAAGCACCATCTTCAAAGGCGCTGGGCTAAGGCACCAGGGAGACGCGAAAGGAGGAAATGCGCCAAGTCTCTATTCGAAGGCCTTGCAATGTAGCTGGAGAGACACATAGGGCTAGTCTGCAGAAGCTCCGGGACTGAGGAAGTCCCGGAGGACAGAGACAGCCCAGGAGGGATCGGGGAGTTGGGATGTCACCAGCCTTGGAGGAGGGCCAGGTCTCAGACAAGCAGGAGGGAGAGGAAGGACCAGTCCTCAGGGGCAAGACAGACTGGGCAGAGGCTAAGGTAGAGGAGTCAGGAGATTCCTAGGGGACAGTTGGACTGGGGCCAGACTAAGCCAGGCTAAGGAGCATGAAGTGGGAAGCTGGAGAAGGCTGTGATGAAACATGCTATAGGCACGCGGTGTGGGCAGTGGTGTTTAGGGTGGGTTGGAGAGGGGAGATGCTAGAAACAGGGACTGGGGCAACATGCCCCAGCACTGACCCCAGGAGGAGGGGAGCTCGGATATGGGTAGTGACCGTCGGGATGGAGAGGACCGGTGGATGCGAGTGCAGAGGGAGATGAAGGAGAGGGGAAAGGGGAGCCAGGCCAGGTGCCTGCAGAAATAGCACCAATAAAGAGAACAGGGTGCCCAGGTAGACTTTTGTCTGGCCAATGTTGAGGTAACGGGAAGACATTTAAATTGTCCAGCAGGCAGCTGAGAACAAGAGATTCAGTCATTTGTGTAGAGGTGGGGCCAAAAGATGAGATTTCGAAAAACAGTGTGGGATGGAGGAAGCAGGTGGTTTGAATCTTGTCCACAATGCGGGGACTGAAAGGGGAAGTGGAGGC
This sequence comes from Homo sapiens, assembly GCF_000001405.40. Classification (NCBI taxonomy): domain Eukaryota; kingdom Metazoa; phylum Chordata; class Mammalia; order Primates; family Hominidae; genus Homo; species Homo sapiens. The sequence continues at coordinate 6,660,965 of NC_000017.11, forward strand.
TGGAGGAGGCACCAGAAGAGCAGTTTCTGCAGAATGCTGGAGGCAAAGCAGCTTGCAGGGTGCTAATGCACTGAGCTGGTAGGAAGGGGAGGGGAGGAAATGGGAGCTGTAGGGAGAGGCAGGAGTGGGATGGGGAAAGCAGAACAGGTTTGGAGGACGAGGTTAACATGCAAGGGGGGCGGGAATCGCTGAGTGCCGGGCACTCATGCCTTCTCTCCCCACACTTGTCCCTGCTCCAGCTCCAGCTGCCCAGCACAGGATCCCCACCACCTCCCCTTTTCCTGCCCACGGATCCCCCAGTGGTCTGGCTTCTGGCCCAATGCTGGGTGCGCAGCTCTGACTTCCAGCTCCGTGAGCTGCAGTCTCATCTTCTGAGGGGACACTTGATGGCTCAGGTCATTGTTGTGGCCACCATGAGGTGCCTGCCGTCGATACATCCTATCTTCAAGGTAACACCTTATCCCCTTCTCTCCTGTATTCAGCTGAATACTTGATGGGGACCTTTGTTTCTCTAGAGTTCTCTTTCTGTACAACACCCTCAATTTCAGCATGCTGCCCTGTGAATTCTGGCTGTATTGGCCTCCCAGTACTGCCAGCTCTCTCTGTCCCCTTAACTCAGGAAGATGATAGGACTCTGCCAGGGTTGCTCCTCCCTACTCTGCAGCTGGAAAGCTTTCTCCAGGCAGTAAGCTGGGGCAATTGTGGGGCCCACTTGTGTCTGTTTCTTCAGTTATTTCAGGCAAGAGGGTAAATCCAGTTCCTTACTTCACTCCAGCTGGAGGTCTCCTCCTCATTATTTTATATACGTTTTGTGGAAGATTAACTTTACAATTTAGTTTTTAGGTAACAGAATATTCAGACAGGACTGCGACTCCATTCATGGAGTAATTATCGTAGCTCAGAGATGAATATTATTACTCTCTCCCAGAGACGGATGCAGTGACTTTTGGGACTTTGTGTGTCTCTTTTCTCAAGGAGAGACTAATAGCATCTTTATTTCTATGAAGAATAGTTGCATTGTGTTAGATAGAAAAGAATATTTTATTTTATTTTATTTTATTTTATTTTATTTTATTTTATTTTATTTTATTTTATTTTATTTTTGAGACAGTCTCACTCTGTCAGCCAGGCTGGAGTGCAGTGGCACAACCTTGGCTCACTGCAACCTCTGTCTCCCAGGCTCAAGCAATTGTCCTACCTCAGCCTCCCAAGTAGTTGGGATTACAGGCGTGTGCTACCATGTCTTGAACTCCTGACCTCAGGTAATCTGCCTGCCTCAGCCTCCCAAAGTGCTGGGATTACAGGTGTGAGCCACCACGCCTGGCCCATTTTTTCTTTTGAGTATGGAAGTTTAAATATAAATGCTGATTAACCAATAGAACTGACTGTGGGAGTTAGGCTTCGCCCTTGGCTCCAACCCTCTACCTTCTAAAGTCAGCTTCCTGTCTAAGGCTAGGTCTCTGCAAACCATATTCCTGCCTTCTTACCTGGCTCCATGTCGAGCTCACACCAGTAACTAATTCACCCTGGTAGCAGATGTTCCTTCCCTTAGTGGCAGCTGAATCCACGTTGCAACTTTCTAATGTTTGAAAAAGCTGCTTTATTGCATCCCTGCTCAGAATACCAGCACCAGCCAACTGGCACCCCTTATCAAAAGTCTGAGTTTCAGATCTCCAGGGTCCCTCCTCCAAGTTTCTGAAGTTTTAATAATTCCAGGTTCTGTTCTTTCCTGTCTACTGGTAGGGTAGAGCATCCTTTCATACGCTTATTACCCCTGTGGGTTTCTTTTTCTGTGACTTCTCTATTCATATCTTTGCTCGTTTTGCTTCTTTCACGTCTTTTTCTTACTTGAGTCCTTTAAATATTCTGAAGACAAATTCTCACTTATTTGCATTGCAACCATATTCTCAAAGTTTTTGGCTTGCCCCCATCCTTTAATTTTTTTTTTAATTTCAGAAGACAGTTTCTCAGCTTTCACCATGTGCCTTTATCTTTCCTGGTTTCCATCTCTGATTTTATTTTATAATGGCAACAATGTGTTTCTGTCTTAATAAAGTGGTCCACCAGGATTGCTATCCCAGTGGTTTTTAAACTGCAGTCAAAACATTAAAGACTGGCGAAATCAATTTAGGGGGTCCCAGTCAGCATTTTAAAAAATGAAATAGAGTAGAATAAAACATATCAGTAGAGCAATATCAGAATACATCACACTGTTTAATAGGAAGGAAGGAAGGAAAGAGGAAAGGGTAAGAAAGGAGGTGGGTTTGGACAATTTATTTTATTATTTATTTATTTATTTTTGAGACAGAGAGTCGGTCTATCACCCAGGCTGGAGTACGGTGCCCAGCGTCTGCCTCCCGGGTTCAAGCGATTCTCTTGCCTCAGCCTCCCGAGTAGCTGAGATTACAGGTGCCCAACACGCCCGGCTAATTTTTATATTTTTAGTAGAGACAGGGTTTCACCATGTTGGCCAGGCTGGTCTTGAACTCCCGACCTCAGGTGATCCGCCCTCCTCGGCCTCCCAAAGTGCTAGGATTACAGGCATGAGCCACCGCGCCTGGCCAGGTTTGGACAATTTAGTTATGACCCAGTGTCAAAGTTTTTATTACAATGTTGCGGCAAGAAATGAGGCTTTTGCTAAGTCAATTCAACAAGTGTCTATAGGTAAGGACACTTTACAGGAAAAGAGAATGACTAGATAATCATTGTTAGACTGGATACAAGAAAAAGAAAGAAAAGTTCTAGTTAAGGATTATTAGATTTATTAAAAGACAGTTAAAGGCCCTTGGATTCCTTCCCTCCAGGGTTGATATTAGCTGTGTACATAGGTAACTGGTTTCTAACAAGAGGTCATAATCTCATTAAAATTCATCAGAAAGTGGCTTAAGCATTTAATCAGGCATACAATTGATTTCCAAGAAGAGTTTTGTGGCTTATATTCCCAAAACATCCTTGTCCCAGCCAGCGTGTGGGACAATCTTTTATTTTACAGTGTATATATTTTATGAAAACTTGTATTTCACTACATATGTACCATATCTTGAAGCAAACTTTATTTTTGACTGTGTCACTGTCAATGAGGTTTGAAAAACACTGCTGTTCTTAAGAGCTGAGATCCAATCAAGGCCTCAGGAATTCCTGGGGTCCCTAAACCTGTCCTTGCCTGTAGTAAACCTCTCTATCTCTGCAGGCACCTAGGGGAGGTTCTCCTGGATGTCTTCACAGACATCCTGCATAGCTGTTAAACTCAGAAGTCTATCCATCCCACGTCTGCTTTTTGCCATATAAGATTTCATTTGCAAAAGGGTCCCAATGCTAATGATCTTTGAACATCATCAAGCTAATGTAATCCCATTGTTTTACTTTGAGGAAACTGAGGCTCGGAGTGAGAACACCTTGCCAGTCGCATGGCATTTGGTCCACCTGCAGTTGTACTGCCCCCACCAGTCTACCAGAGTAGCAAAGATTTCACCAGTAGGAACTCATGTATTTAGTGTTAATGGCCTGTCCACATTTCCCTTTAAAAAGACCAGGAGAGGCTGGACATGGTGGGTTATGCCTGTAATCCCAGCACTTTGGGAGGCCGAGGCAGGTGGATCACAAGGTCAAGAGATGGAGACCATCCTGGCCAACATGGTGAAACCCCGTCTCTCCTAAAAATACAAAAATTAGCTGGGCGTGGTGGCACATGCCTGTAGTACCAGCTACTTGGGAGGCTGAGGCAGGAGAATCACTTGAACCCGGGAGGCAGAGGTTGCAGTAGGCCAAGATCGCACCACTGCACTCCAGGCTGGTGACAGAGCAAGACTCCATCTCAAAAAAAAAAAAAAAAAAAGACCAGGAGATAAGGGCTAAGTAATTAAATTTCTCCTTAGTGTATATTCATTGATCAGATTTTTTTTTACCAAGGCTACTTCACCCATTAGTCATGATAGGGTATAGTCCTAAGGCCTGTGAATTGTTCAAGGGCCTACAAAAATGGCTGAGGCCCAAAAAACTCGTTGCCTTCAAAATACAAAAAGAAAACAAAATTGAAATTAATAAGTGATATAGTTTGGATACTTGTTCCTTCAATCTCCTGTTGAAATTTGATCCCTGGTGTTCGAGATGGGACCTAGTGGGAGGTATTTGGACCATGGGGGCGGATCCCTCATGAATGGCTTAGTGCCATTCCTGCAGAATTGAGTTCTCACTCCTGGTTCCAGCGGGGGATATCGCTGCTAAAAACAGTCTGGCAGCTCCCCTCTCTCTTGCTCTTTTGCTCTCTCCCTGTGATGCCTGCTCTCCTTCACCTTCCATCATGAGTAGAAGTCCCCTGAAGCCCTCGCCAGAAGCAGAGGCTGGTACCATGCTTCTTGTACAGCCTGTAGAATTGTGAACCAGATAAATCTGTTTTCTTTACAAATAACCCAGCCTTGTATGTTCCTTTATAGCAATGCAAAATGGACTAAAACAGTAAGTCCCAATGTGCATAAATTTTAGTATGTATCATATGATATGGATCAGGATCTCCAAAAATAAGAATGTGTATGGTCTAGGAAGGTCTCAAAATGGCTCTTTCAAGGTGTCTATACACTGATATCCAGGCTCCAAGGAGATGATAGTGTGGAGCCTTCTCTCTAAAAGTCCTAAGACTGATAGATTCAGCACAGTATTTGGCCCGGAGTGGCCTGAGACAATACATTTCTTTCTTTTAATTTTATTTTTTTTGAGATGGAGTCTTGCTTTGTCACCGAGGCTGGAGTGCAATGGCACCATCTCGGCTCACTGCAACCTCCTACTCCTGGGTTCAAGAGATTCTCTTGCCTCAGCCTCCTGAGTAGCTGGGATTACAGGCACGCACCATTACACCCAGCTAATTTTTCTTTTTGTTTTGGTATTTTTAGTAGAAACGGGTTTTCACAGTGTTGGCCAGGCTGGTCTCAAACTCCTGACCTCGGGTGATCCGCCTGCCTCTGCCTCCCAAAGTGCTGGGATTACAGGCATAAGCCACCGCCCCTGCCCCAAAGTGTTGGGATTACAGGCGTGAGCCACGGTGCCTGGCTGGTAAACATTATTTCGTGAAACTTTTTTGTTTGGAATCGCAGTGTAAAATATATTTCTGGGAGTCATGGTCAAAAGAGTTGGAGAAAAGTGCGTCTCTAAGTTTTCTCCCAATTAGTGCCCCCTCTTGAGTTCCTGGCCATCTGTTAAATGTGTGCCATGACAGACGATGGACAGTAGAGGGCAGACAATCCCCGCACAGCAGCAAAGGCTGGACTTCGGAGGAGTTGGAAACCACAGGCGAATGCCAAGCAGGACAGAAGCCTGAAGCCAGGCCTGAAGCTTCTGAAAGAGACAGGGCACACGTACCTGGTCCTCCTAGGCATCGCAGCACTCTCTGTGTGATATAACTGCAGCCACTTTCCAGTCTCCATCCACAGGCTGGATCCTTGTCTTTGGATATTTTTCACCTCCCTGGGAGTACTTCCAGGTGTCTAGTTACTTTTAAACCAAGGTCCTGTAAAACCATCTTTGTTCCGTCACCCAGGCTGGAGTGCAATGGTGCGACCTCAGCTCACTGAAACTTCCACCTCCCAGATTCAAGCGATTCTCCTGCCTCAGCCTCCTCGAGTAGCTGGGACTACAGGTGCGAGCCACCACGCCCGGCTAATTTTTGTATTTTTAGGAGAGACAGGGTTTCGCCATGTTGTCTCCAACTCCTGACCTCAGATGATTCTCCTGCCTCAGCCTCCCAAAGTGCAAAGGGATTACAGATGTGAGTCACTGCACCTGGCCTGGCACTTTAATATCGTAGAGCAGAGAACACACACTGAGCTCTCAGTCTCCCCCAGGCACTGTTTGCAGCACTCTACATGTACTAACTCATGCACTCCTCACACCTAGGTGAAGTAGGTCAGGACACTGAGGATTGAGAAGCTTAGGTGACTTACCCAGCATTCCTGGCTAGGAAGAAGCAGAGCCAGGATCCAAACCCAGGCTAGCTGGCTCCGGAGCTTATGCTCTCAACCAGCAGCCGCTGTTGGTACAAGAGGAATAAATGCCTAGTCTTCTACCTACTGTATCTACTCCTAAGGATACTGAGGGTGTGATGTGGTCGGGAGAAACCCTGGAGGCCATCAGAAGAGCAGGGGATATTCAAGCCTAAGATGGGAAGAATGGGTAGACACCACTTCATTCTGCTATCTGAAGGGCTGTCTTTGTCAGAGGCAGCCTCAAGAGCAGAACTAGAATCAAACGGTGAAAAGCTAGGAGGATTTGGGCTCAGAAAAAAAAAAAAGAAAGACTTTAAAAAATGTATTATAAAATCTGGCCGGGCGTGGTGGCTCACGCCTGTAATCCCAGCAATTTGGGAGGCCAAGATGGGTGAATCACGAGGTCAGGAGTTCAAGACCAGCCTGGACAAGATGGTGAAACCCCGTGTCTACTAAAAATACAAAAATTAGCCGGGTACAGTGGCAGCTGCCTGTAATCCCAGCTGCTTGGGAGGCTGAGGCAGGAGAATCGCTTGAACCCAGGGGACGGAGGTTGCAGTGAGCCGAGATCGCACCACTGCACTCCAGCCTGGGCAACAGAGTGAGACTTCGTCTTAAAAAAAAAAAAAAACTTTATTCTACAGACAAACATAGGAAGCCCCATTGAAACCCCAACACTGTGCCACGTCTGTGTCAGATCTCCAGGGAAAACATTTCTCACAGTTGAGCCAGCCCTGTGGCGGTGAGCACTCTGTCTTCTAAAGCAAGAGCAGACAAACGCTGGGCAACCACTGTGGGGGAAGGTGCCACAGAGGGCATTTAGCTTGGCGTCAGACAGGAAGCCTGGGGGGTCCCAGGTAGCCCGAGTTTGAGGGGGTGGGAAGGAAGCAGTGGGAAGTCCCTGGGTTACATCTTCCTCCTTGAAGTCTTTAGCTTTTCCCTCTCCTCCTGGTCCCTTGCCTAGGTCAACAAAAATGTCTCATCTCCCCCTGCCCTAACTGGACTCCCATTTCTCTGCCTCTTGCCCACCCCTGCACACCCTAAGCCATTATTCATTTTATTTCCCAGGCTCTTCAAAGAGCTCTCTACCCTCGCTGCTCACACGTCCCCGTCCTGATCGTTTTTCCCTGCCCTTGCACTGCAACCTCACCAAATCTGTCCTTCCCAATGTAACTTCGTGCTGTTTCCCCTTCCCAATCCAATGGCTTCTTCTCGACCCCCAATTTCTCTGACCTTTCCGTAGCATTTGGCTCTGGGGACAATTCCCTCCTCATCAAAACTTTTTCCTCTGTTGTTCTCCGTAAGCCTGAACTCTCTCTCCCCCTCCCCCCACACCCGGCAAATGTCAGTGGTCCCCAGAATTCTTTCCTCCGCCTTAGCTTCTCACTTTGCACACTGCCCCGGCGCTCACATGGCAACCGCTGCCTGACTGCGGATGTCTCTCTCGCCCAGGCCTCCGTCCTGAGCACCAACCTCTCACAGGCTGGGAATCTTGTTCTGGATTAATTAGTTTCATTTTTGTTGTTGTTGTTGTTTTGAGATGGAGTCTCGCACAGTTGCTTGGGCTGGCGTGCAATGGCGTGATCTCGCTCGCTGCAACCTCCGCCTCCCGGATTCATGCGATTCTCCTGCCTCAGCCTCCTGAGTAGCTGGGATTACAGGTGCACACCACCATATCAGGCTAATTTTTTGTATTTTTAGTAGAGACAGGGTTTCACCATATTGGCCAGACTGGTCTCGAACTTCTGACCTCGTGATCCGCCCACCTTGGCCTCCCAAAGTGCTGGGATTACAGGTATGAGCCACCACGCCTGGTCAACCTTTTCTATTTCTCTATAGCGCCTACTAAAATGGGACTTGATATTATTTATTCATTGCTTAATTGTTTATGATCTATGTTCCCCACGGGAGAGCAAGGACTTTGACTTGTTTACTCCTATATCCCCAAACCTAGAACAGCGTCTGGCACAGAGCCAGCATGCAGTAAGTGTTGGTGGAAGGAATAAATGAAGGAATGAAGGAATGGTCGGGATGAATTTCTTGCCTGTGGTTCACTGATGAGAAGCTGGGGAAGGCTGAAGCAAACTCACACGTGCCCCTGACCTCGGTTGCTCCTTCTGTCAGATAAACTCCTGTTTGTCCTCAAATTCCTGCTCCATTTCCACCTCCCCAAGGAGACTTGCCTAGTCCTTGACTCTGAGCCCACTTCCTGGGTGTTCTCGCTCCCCACCGCTGCTGCCTGTTTTTACAGCATCCATGTGGTCACTCCGTGAATGATTCTTTGTTGTTTCCTCCTGTCTCTCCCGTGAGATTGAAAGCACATCAAGGGCAGGCCTGTCACAAAGCCTCTTTGTGTTCTGTAGCTATGCGTGGAGCGAATGAACAAGGTTGGGCTTGTCTGGACCTGGGCACGGTCACTGAATGTTCTTGGCCTCTGTAAGGAAGGGCATCCCCTTGGCAGTTAGCAGGGCAGGCACAAGGGGCATAGCATCCCCAGAACATGATGAAGGGCACCTTTGAAAAGCTAGAGAGGCTTTGGATAGAGCTGGAATTGTCTGGTGACATGTGCTCATTCATACTACATGGTCATTATACTACGTGGTCTTAGAATATGTCAAATTCTCACCTTTTCATCCACCCACAATTCACTGAGTTCCCGTTCAGTGCCAGCTTCTGTGATGGGTAATAGTGGTGGGAAACATGCAGAACTGGATGATCAAGTTTAGAATGAGATCGTGCCTACTGTCGGAGCAGTCCAGGAGGGGTGACCCCAGGATCCCTTCTTCCTTTGCCTTCCATCTATTCTAAATTGTCTTCAGCTGGTGATGCACCAGCTGGGCATCCAGACGTCAGCTGGCTTAAACAGACCGCTGTGCTTGCAACAAGCAAGACACTTCAGAACTTGCAGAATCACTGCATCCCTTTCTTAAACCAAGACCCAACCCCACCATCTCTTTCTTTTCCTTTCTGGTTTGGCCTCTGTAGGTGTGACATCAGAGACACACCTCAGCGGATGTGACTCAGTGAGCACCATTCAGACTCCCCAGGGCCACTCCCATGAGCTGGCCAGGTGGGCAGGCTTTGCTGAGCCTGTCTCCCCACCGGTCTGAGGTCTGCAGATTAGGCTTCCAGACAGGGAGCGGCAGGGCAGGCCCCTCAGTGGGAAGACAGGAGTGTCTGTATGGCCAGCCGGGAATCAAGAACCATTCACCCTCCACCAGCAAGGGTGGGGCTGCCCTGAGCTTTCAGGCAGCTGTTTTATGGAATTATTAATTTTAATGTACAGATGGTTTTATTTTCTGCTCATTTTCACATATTCTAAGAACCCTTAAATGTTATACTATATAGTCTTTTTTTTTTTTTTTTTTTTTGAGACAGAGTCTTTGTCACCCAGGCTGGAGTGCAGTGACGCAATCTCAGCTCACTGCAACCTCCACCTCCCGGGTTCAAGCAATTCTCCTGCCTCAGCCTCCTGAGTAGCTGGGATTACAGGTGCCTGCCACCACATCTGGCTAATTTTTGTATTTTTAGTAGAGACGGGGTTTTGCCATGTTGGCCAGGTTGGTCTCGAACCCTTGACTTCAGGTGATCCACCCACCTCGGCCTCCCAAAGTGCCAGGATTACAGGCTCAAGCCACCGCGCCCAGCCTATAGTCTTAATATTCCCTATTTTAAAAAATATTCATGGCGGCCATACTAGAGCCCCCGGGATATAGCGGAGAGCACTGCCCTCATGGTCTTTAGATACACGTCTTTCATGGTTCTGTTGAATGACTTCCTTACAACACATTCCCAGGAGCAGAATTACCACATTAAAAGGTATGAACATTTTTATAGCTCTGGAAGCGTATTGCCCAATTTCTCCCCTAAAAAGGTGGTGTTAATTTACACTGCCACTGGCAGTGTGTGTAAGCTGGTTTCAGCACAGCTTCAACAGCATGAGACATTATAATTTTGTTAATGTTTGCTAATTTCATAGGTGTGAAATGAATGGCACATCAGGGGGACTTTAATTTGCGTTCCCTGGTGATCGTGAGGGTGAGCCTGTTTGGAGGTGCTGATGTGCACAGTCTGCCTAGTGGGGGCCTCTCCGCCCTGTCTCAGGCACTGTCTGTTTCTCAGCCTGTGTCTCCCCACACCTCTGCCTGCCTCCCGCCGACTGCTGTTCTTACTGTCCCTCTAAGCCTGTCTGTCTCAGTGTCTTAGCCTCTGATTCCTCTGAGTTTCTCTGGTTCCTAACTGGCCAGGTGTGGAGCTGGTTCATGGAGGTCCTAGCCAAGCCCTGACAAGCTGCAGTCTAGAGGCGGGGCGCAGGGTTCTGGGCACAGGGCTCCAGGCTCCTGCCTCCAAGGGCTCCCTCCCCGGGGAGCTCCCTTTGTGAACTCACATGGTGCCCTGCCCTTCCTTCCACCAGGGCCTCACCAAAGGCCCCTTTCATTTCTCCAGGTAGCCTCAGCTGGGCTGACCTGCTCGATTGGATCCAGTGATTCTGAGATCCCAGAAGTAGCTGGGAGTGAGCAGGCTGTCCCTCAGTGACTCCCTCTTAGGAAGTGTTCCAGAAGCCCCACCCTCAGGACAACTCACCAGACAGTGTTGTGTGTCCTGGCCGTTGGGGGTGTGTGGTCTGAAAGAGCCAGAAAGTGGTGTCCCCAAAGTCCAGATGTGTGGACAGTAGACAGGTCCACAGAGGTGACAATGGCGCCGCCTGCCTACCTTCTCCAACGAGCCCCTTACCTGAAGTGGCAGAAAGAGCTCACCTCTCAGGCCAAACCCCACTTGGCACCAGGTGGACGGGGGGCCACCGAGGCCCCATGGTTTAGCAGGGTCAGAGTGGGGCTGTCACCCTGCCCACTTTCAATGGCGTGGAAGAGTCTTCAACACTTGGGAAAGTTTCAGAAAGACTCTAGAGAGGCAGCTGGCTTCAAGGGAAGGCTGTGTGGATGTACTTGGCGAATCCTCATGATCAGTGAGTTGCTGACTCCGGGCTCTGGACCTGCCCTGTGGCTGCTTGTCTTTGAGGCAGGTCTTGAGGGCTCTCTGCAGTCACCTCTCAGGCCCTGTGGGTGGTCCCAGCCTATTAGAATCGTAGATTGATACCAGCCAGAAGGGAACTCTGACATCAAGTTCTCTCTCTTTTTTTTTTTTTTTTTTTTTTTTGAGACGGAGTCTCTCTGTGTCGCCCAGGCTGGAGTGCAGTGGCGTGATCTCGGCTCACTGCAACCTCCACCTTCCGGGTTCCAGCGATTCTTCTGCCTCAGCTGCCCGAGTAGCTGGGACTACAGGCGTGCACCACCATGCCCGGCTAATTTTTGTATGTTTTAGTGGAGATGGGATTTCACCATGTTGGCCAGGCTGATCTCAAACTCCTGACCTCATGATCCACCTGCCTCGGCCTCCTAAAGTGCTGGGATTACAGGCATGAGCCACCACGCCCGGCCCTACCCTCTCATTTTATTTAACATTTTAACGTTAAGCTTTTAAAAAATTATACAAATAATGCATGCCTGTTTCTAGGATATTTGGAAAATACAGAAAACTATAAAGGAGAAAATATTAATCCTTCTATCCGTTCATCAAAGATAACTGCTATTCTATTTCAATATCAACCTTTTCTGTGCTCGCATATTTTTATTATCACTACGACCATACATTATACGTGATTTATTTACCTCCGATTATATGCATTTTCAATATAACGAAATATTCTTTAAAAACACTGTTAATGACTGCATAATAGTCTTTTGAGCTGACACACCTTAACTAATATTACCTAAATGTCAGGCATGTATGTTTTCAGTTTTTCAAGGATATAAAAATATACCAAAGTAAACATCTTGGGACAGGCGTCATGGCTTACACCTGTAATCCCAGCATTTTGGGAGGCCAAGGTGGGCAGATCACTTGAGGTCAGGAGTTTCAGATCAGCCTGGCCAACACGGTGAAACCCCGTCTCTACTGAAAATACAAAAATTAGCTGGGCATGGTGGCAGGTGCCTGTAATCCCAGCAACTCAGGAGGCTGAGGCAGGAGAATTGCTTGAACTGGGAGGGGTGGAGGGGTTGCAGTGGGCTGAGATCACGCCACTGCACACCACAGCCTGGGGGACAGAGTGAGACTCCATCTCAAAAAAAAAAAATACTGGGTGTGGTGGCTGACGCCTGTAGTCCCAGCTACCTGGGGACTGGAGTGGGGGAGGCTGAGGTGGGAGGATCACTTGAGCCCAGGAGGCAGAGGTTGCAGTGAGCCAAGATCGCCCCACTGCACTCCAGCTTGGGAGACAGAGTGAGACTCCGTCTCAAAAACAAAACAAAAAATACTAAAGTAAGCATCTTTATGCATAAATTTTTGTCCACAATTTCATTTTTCCCTTAGCTTAGATTCCTACTCATAGGGTATAGGCATGTTTTAAGATTTCGCATGTGTATTTTTATTTTACTTTTGAGAAAGGTTGAACTAACACATGCCCATCTCGCCACACACCATCAACTACACCAAGAAATATCATTCAAAGAAACATCGACTAACTCGAAAGACAGTATTTCTGTTGCCTCCTTTCAGTGATCGGTCAGCTAAGTCTTGGAGAGGAAAAGGGACATGACGAGGGTGGTTCTAGGAGTGTGTTATTTCATTCTGTCTTCACAGCAACCCCATATAAATAGCAAGAAGTGGAGGAGCTAAAGCACGCAGATTAAGGTTAAGGAACTTGCCTGGCCGGGCACAGTGGCTCACGCCTGTAATCCCAGCACTTTGGGAGGCCGAGGCAGGTGGATCACCTGAGGTCAGGAGTTCGAGACCAGCCTGGCCAACATGGTGAAACCCCGTCTGTACTAAAAATAGAAAAATTAGCCAGGCATGGTGGTGTGCACCTGTAATTCTAGCTACTCAGGAGGCTGAGGCAGGAGAATTGCAGGAGAATTGCTTGAACCCAGGAGGTGGAGGTTGCAGTGAGCTGAGATCGCGCCATTGCACTCCAGCCTGGGCAAGAAGAGCGAAACTCTGTCTCAAAAAGAAAAAGAAAAAGGAACCTGCCTGGACTCACATTCGGTTACTAAGAGTTGGAGCCCGAGTTGGAGCCTGTGCCGTTGGGCCCCAGGGCCCTTGTACTTCATGTCACCTCCATGCCACAGCTCCTGTTCCCAGCTGTGATGCTGGAATGTGGATTGGAACCAAGTCATAAAGAAACTTGGAGTTTGGATTTACCCTATAGACAGAGAGAGGCCCTTGATGGGTCCTTAAGCATCAAAGCTGGGTTTTACAGAGATGTTTCTGGTGGACTGGCTTGAGGGAGACAGGAAATAGGGAGGTCAGCTGGGAAACGCAACATACAGATAATGCGATTGACAAACAGGGCTCGCACGGAAGCACACGTGCCTATGGTTGTGGGAAGTGGGCAGTTGGGAATGCTGAGGGTCTCAGAGGCCTCCCACCATGCCCTCTTCACTGAGCAAAGGCCATTTTTATCTGCTACACGTCAGGCAAAACCTGCGCCAACTGCCAAAGCCTCCACCTCAAATCTAGCAAATAAGAGAGAGGACGGTATGGATTACGTTATATTTAAAACAAGCCCACACAATGCCTGTAATTTTTCATTCTGACTCCGTAATTATAACTCAAGACCAGTCAGATCATAGTTATCCCCACACCGACCTGCTGTTGGGACACATGGAATTAAAGGCTTTGCTCCCTTCAAATTCTATTTTGGAGGCCGAGCACTGGCAGGTAACGGGCCTTTCTCAAGGCCCGTCTTGTTGGAGCCCCTCCCGGGGCAGCCTCCACGAAGGCCAAGTCAGCACCAGGGTTTCGGGAAGACCACGGATGGTGTGGGAGCAGTTGAGATGCTACCGCTTTGCCCGACCTGAGCCCTGGGCCTCGGGGCTGAGCCAGGGGCCTGGAAGCAGAGGTGAGCACCGTCCTTGGACCAGACCTTGGGCAGGTCTATCCCAGAGCATCTGCACCCTCGAAGATTCCCAAATGCTGCTCTACCCTGGACCTGACCAGGGTCCCAGGGTCAGATGGGCCAAGCCCTGGTTGTCCGGCACACTTGTCACAGACAGGCTGCTATTGCCCAAAGGGGCCTAAATTCAGAGAAGAAGAAGAAGAAGAAAAACATCCAAGGAGTGTGAAGGGGCCAGGCTTCCATGGACAGCCTGGCTAACCAGGCCTAGGCCAACTAAGCTTTTCTTCCAGTGTGAGCACCACCCCTCAGCCCCACAATGGCACCCTAGACAGAGCCAGAGTGGGACTGGCTCCCTGCTCGTGGACCTGGGTTACCAGCAGGAGTCAGGAGGGCCAACTGCCCTTTCTCCACACGGCCCTCCCAGGCCCAGTCCCACCTCCCCATAGCCTTGCGGGGGAGGCAGAACAGCATCCTTTCATCCAGGCGCTTCAGGACCTGCTCTATCCAGGCCCTTCATGCACCATCTCATTTACTCCTCCCGTCACTCTGCCAAGGGGGTGTGGTTAGTGTTATCACAATTTCCAGTTGAGACATGAACAGATGGAGCTCAGAGAGGTGGCATGACCGAGGCCACTCAGGTCATAAGTGAGGAGGTCAGAGCTGGGACTGAGTTGTCCTAACATCCCTGGACCACACAGCGCATCCACAGGCAACTGGCCCGAGACCGCCAGGCCTGCTCCTGGCTGTGCCTCAGCAATTCCTTGGTGGTCCCATGTTCTTGGGCAACTTGCTGAGCCCTTAGGCCTAAGGAAGCTCAGGCCCAGTGCCTGTCTCCCAGCCCCCCTCTTCTCCTGGTGCACATTGCACTGCTCCCTTGCCTCAGCCACACCAGAGGACGAGCCCACTCCCTGCACAGGGCCTTGTTCTCACGTCCCCACGTGGATGGTTCCCTCTTCCAGCCAATGGTGCATCTTACACATGCTTCTGTTTTAACCCTCAAGACATTGTGCTGTTACTATTCTTATCACTGTCTCCGGCTAGACTTCTCAAGGGAGGACCTGTGTCCTGTCTCTCTGTTGCTAGTTTTATGCATAGCATGTAGTAGGTGCTCAGTAACTGTTTGCGCAAGAAAAAAACAAGAATCTAGAAAACTCCCATTTGTCTTTAAAACTCTGCCTAGAATAGATCCGATGAAGACTTTGCTGATTCACACAGACCAAGCTAACCCCATTTACTAGGCTGTATCCTTGAGGACAGGGACAGAGCTTGATTCTTCTCTGTGACCCCATCTCTCAGCACAGAAGAAGCGTCAACCAAGGGTCAGTAAATGTAGAACTGAATTGCTCTTTGCAGTTGCACACACACACACGCACACGCACACACATACTGCACACTGCTTCAGCCCCGGATTAAGGGCATCATGACCTGAACCAGCCAAGTGCCCATGTTATTGGGCTGAAACCACCCCAGGCTGAAATGCCAGGGATGTTTGCTAAGGAAGAAAACACTGAAATCCTAACTTTAAAAAAAGAAACACAGTGAATAGGTGTTCTATTTATATGAAAATCAGGTCTGTTTTTAGGTAACAGCCCTCCCATCTCACCTCCCCAAGGTGGGTCCTGTCCTTGCACCAGTTCCTTCTACACCCCACCCGGTAATCACAGCCCTACCTGCCCCACCTCCTCTCCCCTGTTTGCTCTCTGGGGTTTCCCTCGATTGCAGGGTTTGAGCTTCCAGACATCACAGGGGCCTGTCTCAGACTGGCCCCTTCCCTCCCTCCCTGACGCTGGAGTTAGTGAGAAGGAGGCCAGAGCCAGGGCTCTGTGAGAGGAGAGGGGGCAGGCCGGGAGTCAGTCTGTCGCAGGATCTGTCCCTTACCTGATCCAAAGCACAGAAGATGGATGGCTGGTGCACAGAAGGAGCTAAGCCCTGCTTCTCCCAGGCCTCTGTCAAGCCAGCAGGGTCCCACTCCTTAGCTCGGATCATGCACAGGTGCCCCATGGCGCAATGCAAAGAGCAGAGGCTTTGGAATCAGGGTTCCAGTCCTGGTCCTGCTCCTCCATTTAGACAAACCCCTGCAAGCCTCAGAGTCCTCAGCAGCCAAAGGGGGCGTCAGCTGCAGAGAAGACCCACCACGTCACACTGTGGGGCAGGGATGGCACAGGACCAGCCACTCCAGCAGAGGAACTGTTTGTGGAACCCAGCAGGGAAAGAAATTCGACTTTGAGAGCAGCAGCTTTGGCAGCTTAGAAATCATCTGGAGGCTTCCCGTGCACACATTAAACCTCAAGCTCCAGGTAGCCCAGCCCTGGTTCTGTAAGCGGCCAGATAGGCCCACCCAGGCTCTTGGCAGCAGGGGAGGAGCTGGTGGCTCTGAAAACAGCACTGGCTATGGCACCACAGGGGCCAAGAGGACTTTGTCCCCTGGCTCCTGCTCTTTCTCCAGCCTCAGGACTCCCTCACCTCCTCCGTCCATTCCCTTGCCTTCAGGAGTCCCACTATGGCCTGAGGAGCATCCCGCTCTCTGGCAAGGTTCTGCTCCTGCTGGAACACCAGATTAGAGCAGGGGTGCCAGGGGCCCCTCAATATGCTGGCAGCTCCCTCCAGCCTCAGTCAGGTTCCAGGAAGAGACCAGGGCAAGCCTGAAGCTGCGGGCTGGGCCTCACCATCCTGGGAAAATTCTGAGCCTCCCTCACAGCTCAGCACTCAGGCAGGCACCCAGCAAACCACAGCTGTGGTTTCCAGAGAGCCAGGCCTCCCACCGCAGGGACAGTAAGCTGAGAAGCGCTGTAGCTATAAATGTGAAGTGGCGAACCGCGGGACACTGCCGCAACCCAGCAGCGGGCGGGAGCCTGCTCCCAGCCTCCCTGCAGGGCCAGCCCACCAAGCCTCAGACCTGCCCTGTCCACGAGGTCTCTGGGCTCTGAGCAGAGCTGTTTTCTACACCCCACCCGGTATTCTCCCATGTGGCCGCATGGAGGGGGTACCCGAGACAGTGCAGGGAGAGGGGCAGGCAGGACCCTACATAGCATTTTCTCCACAGTCAATGGCGCTGGTCTCCTCACAAGCACAGTCTTGTTTTCTGTTGACTTATGCAAGAAGAGGGAGGGGGCCACATAATCATTTTGGTGCTTGGTGCTTCTAAAAGTCTTACTCCTTCCCTGGGTGGCACCAGGTCACAGCTACAGCCCCATCTGGAGGGTGCCTTGGGGTGGACCTGGGACTCGTGTGGTCCTGGTAGGCATCCTCAGAAGCACTGCAGAAAAGGACAGCGTGGGGAGGAGCCGCAATGGCTGACATGAGCCCCCAGAAGCTCAGAAGGGTCACTGTGCCCATTTCACAGGCAAGGAACTACACCCAGCGAGGAGACCCTGGAGCTCAGCTGTGCCTCCCGGTCTCCCAGACACTCCTGCACTGTGGACGGGGGTGGCCCATGTGGAAGAGTCAGGAAACAGAGGAAGGGAAGGAGAGCCTTTTCCCCCTCTGTCCTCGCAGAGCCTGCCAAGGAACAGTCTCTCCTCCAACATCCTCCTCCACTGGACCATGTAGGGAAAACATCGCAGGGTGAGGGGCCATCTGGTATGGCCCTTCCTGTTAGGCTGGGGAGCTGGCCAGGTAAGGTAAGGTCACCTCAGCCTGTGTGTCGCCAGCCCCCACGGGAGAACTCAAAGACGAGCATCAGCCCTCTTCTTAAAGGAAAGAGCCTAGAGCTGTTCCAAGGAGCCCCTTCCCAGAGCCTGACCCTCTGGGGTTGGCAACAGGAGTGAACAAAACAGACAAAAATCCCTGTTCTCATAGGGCTTACATTCTTACAGAGGTCGGAGAGACAGACCAAATAAAAAGTAAATTGCATAGTATGTCAGAAGATGAAAAGTACAATAGAGAAAAGTCCAGGAGGCTGCAGAGAGAGAGTGTGGAGCAGATGAGGGAGTTGTCATCTGAACTAGGCTGAGAAGGGACCACTGAGCAAAGATTGGAGCAGTGAGGGAGCAGGAGGAGACCCCGCATGCTCCAGACAGCAGGGGCCAGGGTTCTAGGTCAGAGTGAGTCAGTGGCTCTCAACTACAGGCAATTTTGCCTTCCAGGGGACATTTGGCAATGTCTACAGACATTTTTCATTGTCACACCTGGAAGGGGAGAGGGTTGCTATTGGCCTCTACTAAATATTAATAGAAGCTAAGATTCTGCTCGGTATCCCACAGTGCACACAACAGCCTCTTACAACAAAGAAGTATTCGGTCCAAAATGTCAATATTGCTGAAGTCAGGAAATCCTGGAGTGAGTGAGGGGAAGAGGAATAGGAGAGATAGCCAGGGAGATAAATGCCAACCCATTTTTTTTTTTTTTTTTTTTGGAACTGAAGAAGCTGACTTAGAAATTCTTATGGAAAAATATGTGAAAATAGCGAGGCAAAAATAATGAAAAAGAAGAATAAACAAAGTAGCCTCAGCAGATCTTCACATATATTATAAAAATCCCTATGACAGCTGAATGACTAATTTCTTAAATACATAAAGACTTCTTACAAATTAATAAAAAAAGAACTCTTGGGGCTGGGCGCAGTGGCTCATGCCTGTAATCCCAGCACTTAAACCCAGCATGTAAACCTAGCTTAAACCAGGGAGGTGGAGGTTGCAGTGAGCCGAGATTGCACCACTGCACTCTAGCCTGGGTGACAGAGCGTGAGGCACCGCATCTGGCCAGAAACTATTCTTACATAGGTGCACAAAGATGTATGTATAGATATGCTTATTACAGCATTAGCAATCCACTGGAAACAACCCAACGCCCATCAATAGGGAATTTGATTATTCTGTGATGCATACTTACAATAGAAAACCTTGCAGCTTTTCACACCTGTAATCCCAGCACTTTGGGAGGCCGAGGCAGGCGGATCACAAGGTCAAGAGATCGAGACCATCCTGGCTAACACGGTGAAACCCCGTCTCTACTAAAAAATACAAAAAAATTAGCTGCGCGTGGTGGCAGGCGCCTGTAGTCCCAGCTACTTGGGAGGCTGAGGCAGGAGAATGGCGTGAACCCGGGAGGCGGAGCTTGCAGTGAGCCGAGATCGCGCCACTGCACTCCAGCATGGGTGACAGAGTGAGACTCCATCTCAAAAAAGAAAACCTTGCAGCTTTTAAAAAGACTGGGGCTCACTCTTAGGTATGCCTCAGGAGAATTGAAAACATATGCTCACAAAAGAAACTTGTACAGAGATGTTTATAATGGCTTTATTTATAATAGCCCCAAATTGGAACAGCCCACGTGTCCAATGGGAGACGACACAAACTGTGGTATATTCGTACAAAGGAACACTATTTAGCAACAGTAAAATGAACAGATATACAACAACAGGAATGAATTTCAGAAGTATTTCATTAAACAAAATAAATCAGACCCAAGAATACTCCTGTATGATTCCATTTCTATGAAGTTCAACGGACACAACTCATCCATGGTGACAGAAATCAGAACGTGGTTGCCGCAGGAAGTGTTACTTGAAAGGGCAGAGAGAACTCTGGGCAGGAGGCTTGTGGAATTTGGATGTGGTTTCTAAGATGTAAGCATTTGTCAAAATCATTGGATGGAACACTGAAGATCTGTGCAGTTTTCTAAATTTAATCTCACCTCTATTTATTTATTGAGAAATGGAGTCTGTGCAGTGGCGCCATCTCGGCTCACTGCAATCTCCGCCTCCCGGGTTCACGCTATTCTCCTGCCGCAGCCTCCCTAGTAGCTGGGACTACAGGCCCCCGCCACCAAGCCCGGCTAATTTTTTGTATTTTAGTAGAGTCAGGGTTTCACCATGTTGGCCAGGATGGTCTCGATCTCCTGACCTCGCGATCTGCCCGCCTTGGCCTCCCAAAGTGCTGGGATTACAGGCGTGAGCCACCGCGCTCAGCCTAATCTCACATCCGTTTAAAACTAACATTAACTATTGAATAAAAACAATTAGCCAAACTTAGTATGTCCTGAAATAGAATGATCTCCAAATAAATTCTTAATTGGTGGAGGGGGGTAGGTAGAATCAAGCACAGAAAATGTGCATAGTATGCTCCCATATGTAATACAGTTAATGGATATCTATTACATAATGTTTCTAGATTATATAATATTTCTAGGAGAATGTGTAAGAAACTGTTGACAGCGGTTCCCTTTCGGTGTGGATGGTTTGGGGACTAAAGGTCTGAAGTGAGAGGCAAACATCTCAATACCTTTTGTGCCACTGGAATTTCTTTTACTGTGTTCATATTAATTTTTTACTATAAAAAGTAGTTTAAAAATTTCTTGACCAGATAACAGGGTGTTCTGAGATTGAACTTTAATATTTCTCTGCCCTTGATAGCAGGAAGCAGGGACACCACTGCCGGCCATGGGTGGCCTGTGGCTCTGCAGCTGGAAGGGGGCATTTGTACAAGCAGGTCAGGGAAGCTGCTGGAAGATGCTCCTGGGGTAGGGAAGAGAGTACACCTGAGTCCTGGCTCAGGAAGCCAAGTGAGATAAACGGAATCTTGATTGCAGAGATTCAGCCTGAAATGGCAAACTTCCGGTTGAGAAATGTAAAAGCCCATCCCGTGGTATGGAGGATTTATCTTGATAAAACTTGTGTGTGTGTGTGTGAATAGATTTTTAAAAAGGTTTCTGGTAGGTTGGGACACAAACCCTTTTCAGAGGCTGTGTGACTAAGGGGAGAAAGTACCTGGAGGAAGGGATTGTGGACTAAGAATAGGACAGCCAGCTGTAGTTTGTTTGTTTTCAGACAGAGTCTCACTCTGTCGCCCAGGCTGGGGTGCAGTGGTGTGATCTCGGCTCACTGCAACCTCTGCCTCCCAGGCTCAAGCAATTCTCTGCCTCAGCCTCCTGAGTAGCTGGGATTACAGGCACCCACCCCCGTGCCCGGCTAATATTTTTGTATTATTAGTAGAGACGGGGTTTCATCATCTTAGCCAGGCTGTTCTTGAACTCCTGACCTCGTGATCCACCCGTCTCAGCCTCCCAAGGTGTTGCAGGCATGAGCCACCTCACCAGGCCACCAGCTGTAGTTTGTAATCAGACAATACAGCATTTGGACTTTGTTTCCACAGACAAGAACATGCCATTACAGGTCTTACCCAAGAACATCCTGATTTGTTCATCTCAAGGATTGGGCTTTGTGCTAGTGAGCTGGTATCCTGCTTGGAACCCAGATCAAAGAGTTGTTTTGTTTATGTGCAAGAGATGGTGGGGAGGAGAGAAGACTTCACCTGTCCCAGGTAGATGCCAGATGGGGAGACCCCAGTCCTTCTCCAAGAAAGCTCTCAGCTGATGATGAACAGGGGAGGAGACATATGTCCTGCCCTCAGGAGCATCTCATTCAGAGGTCAAAGGCTAAGGAGCCCAGGGACTTAATTTTGGAATGCAAAGAATCTTTGTGGAGCCATAAGTCCCTGCCAAAAAAAATTAAGAGGGCAATCCTGGTCAACATTGTGTGTTCAGCTAACCTCAAGCCCAGATGTCTGATCCAAGCACTAAGAAGAGAGAACTCAAAGGCCCAGGGTGGACCCTTTTTATAAAATGTCAGAGGCAAGATATAGATAGGGGAAAGGCCTGAGATGGCCTTCAGCGAACCCCCATAGGGAAGCAGGCAGTGGGACCTTGGAACAGGCTCCAAGATGAGACAGCATGGGAGATTGGGATGGGGGCTCCATCTGGCCCAAGCAGAGGGAGGGTCAGCTGGAGTAAGAGGATCCGTGACTCTGGGGAAAGCCCTTAGAGACCCTCTGGTCTAACGCCTTCATGAAGGAAACTGAGACCCAGAGTGCAGCATGACTGATTTGGTGTCTGATGTCAGGACTGAGCTCTGTGCATGGCTCAGACTCTAGCCTCCCAATCCACGGGACCCCCTGCAGAAGGTCTACCTGTTGGGAATTGGAGGCATTGTTGAAGCTCTTGACCAGAAAACCATGTACTCACTTCCTACCTAGCAACATGCTCCTACTGAATTCTACGGAAAGAGGGCCTCTCAAGACTCATGGAGTGATCATACCAGACACTTATCATCACCTACCCAACAGCTCCTCCCACCGTTTTGTCCTGCCAGAGCCCAGATTTTGTAGTGGGTGGAAATAGCTTAATTTGGGGAAACATAGGCTAATTCCCCAACCCCGAGAGATGAGTCTTAATTGGTCACAGTATTCCAATGGGACTCCAATCCCCCTTTGTGAATGATGGGTCTAAGGGTAGGCAAGTGACCCACTTGTGGCCCAGAAGACATAAAGGGAAGTCTGCATGGGACTTCTGAGGAAGCTTTTACTTTCCTAGTAAAAGACAAAGATGCAGTTGACACCATCATGCCCTCACCCCATCCACCTTTCTGCCTTGAAGGAAAGCAGCTGTGTATGTAGCCTGGGGGTCAAGCATGGGGGTAAAAGTGTGAAGGCTTTAAGATGACAGAGTGGACTATGGAGCGCAAGTCCTTGGAGGCTGAAATGAGCTGTTGGGCCAATGCCAGCAACCATCTACCTACAGACTTCCTGAAAAGTAAACATTAATTGACCTTCTGGTTTAAGCCACTGTTTGCTGGGCCTTCTCTTATTTGCCATCAAAAGCAAATAAGAGAGCATGTATGGCTAAGTTAAGTGTTCAGAATCACACATCGAGTTAGTGGCAGTTACCGTTCCAACCCAGATCTTCCAACTCCATGCCCACTGCTCCTTACACTAACCATGAAGGGCCTTGGCCTCATAGAGCTTGTAGGGAAAGGTAAGTGGCCAAAAGCAAGTCATGCCAAGGGAAGATCTCTGAATACAGGTCCCTCTCTTTTGCCTCCCCTGAGATAGGCTCAGGACAGTGATCAATGAGACAGGGTGGTCCTTGCCCTAAGAAGCAAAGGGTTTGGTTGGGGAGGCCATACACTTTAGTGCAACTCCAGCCAACACCTAGAGTTGTTTAGGATTGGCCTCTGGTCAGCCTCTTCAGGTGGGAGCTTGGCACTCTGGAAGCCCTCCACCCAGCTTTTTGTCAGCCCTCAACCACATGGTGTCTGGAAGAGTCCTCCACCCACCCACCAGTTCCTCCCCCATTACCCCTGGCCATTCTACTCATCCTTCAATGCCCACCTTGGATGACCTTCATTGACCTTGCCTACTACCAACAGCTTGCACCTAATTGACTGCACTGACCAATCATTTATTTATCCATCATACTAACTGTATAGCCTGCTCTGGGTCAGCCATAATGCTGACACTAGACTCGGTGGGCAGTCAGAGCCCTCAGTCTGGTGGGGCAGGCCAGTCAACGGCAGCGGCACAGAGGGCAGTGATAGAGGGCTGGGGAGGAAGGAAGTCAGCAGTTGTACCTTGGTGGGGGGAGGTGGCAGCCTTTTCCCTACTTCCCTCCCCAACCAAACACTTTGCTTCTTAGGGCAAGGACCACCCTGTCTCATTGATCACTTGTCCTGTGCCTATCTCAGGGGAGGCAACAGACAGGGACTCATGTTTGGAGATCTTCCCTTGGCATGGACTTGCTCTTGGCCACTCACCTTTCCCTACAAGCCCTATAAGGCCAAAGCCCTTCATGGCTAGCAGAAGGAGCAGGGGGTATGGAGTTGGAAGCTCTTGGTTGGAACTGTAACTGCCAGTAACTTGATGTGTGACTTTGGACACTTCCCTTGGCCTCCCTGAGCCTCGCTTTTTTTTTGAAAGACAAAGCAAGATAATAACACCTTCCTATCTCACAGGGTTGCTGCAAAGATCGAACGAGATAACTAGTGGATTCAACAGGGACAGGAAGGCCTGGCACCCAGCAGGTGGGCAGGGCGTAACTAACTGTTCATTCATCCACCTCCCTGGGCTCCCCACACTGCAGAAAACCAGAGACAAGTCAGCAGCACAGTGGAGCTTTCCGCGGGAGACAGAGCATTTAATGAGAGCAAGAGCTGGACAGTGTGGTCAGGAATCGTCCCACCCAAGGAACCAGACACATACTCGGTCCTTGATGGGGTTTCCTGAGGCTCTCATACTTTCTCCTGCCCTGGAAAATGCCATCCAGGAGCTCATCTCTTTGCTACTGCCTCTCTTCCAGAGCAGCACAAGAAGGAAATAAAATGGACTTGCGGGGGAAAGAAGATGCTTGTCTCTCATGTCTGTCTCTTACAGGGGGGTTCTGAAGATTCCCACAGCCTCTCTGGAGTTGTTGCCCCACTTTGGGGTCTTTGTCCGAGTAACTTCAAGTAGATTGGCCCACGGGCAGGGGTTGTTTGCTGAGAGATCACCAAGCGCTGCTCAATCTCAACGATCCTCTGTTGTCACCAGCCATGGCTGTGAAGGCCAGTCAACAAAGGGAAGATTTTACCCAGAGGAGCTCAAACGCTGGCATGAAAGACTCTGAAGTGGCATAGCCAGTGGAAATTAACAGCTGTGTCCACTCTGGGCCTCAGGTGAGGGAGGGCCTAGATAGCCCACTGTGGCCCCCAGAGCGCCATCACTGCCCATACTTGGAGTGTGATCCTAGCTATTTGGGGATGGCAGGGGAAGCATCTCCCAGAAAAGATGACCTGCCTGGGAGAAAAGGGGGACCCCAGAGGGTGCCAGCCAAGGCGTCTCGGCAAATGTTGACCCAGACAACAGGGGACCAAGGAGTTGAAGGAGGCTCACTGGAGAGGTGGGACAGGGGGCCAGTCGATTAAAACAGAACCAAGTGATGAAGGGCGTAGGTTGGCCTGTGGTGCACTGTGGGTGGCAAGCCAGGTGTCGTCCTGAAGTTGGCAACTCAGATTCCTCATCCTTTGGTGGTGGCCACAGGAGGAGTTCCCAGAGGCTTCAGGAGGCTCTGATTCCCACTCGCACTCCAGCAGTGGGAGGTTGCTCAAGACCAGGCATTCCGTCCCTGGCTGGGGTGTCCCTTCCAGAGTGACAGAGATGATCTGAGGCTGCTCAAGGTGAGCTGGAAGGGACATGGGCACTGGTAGGTGGTTGTCTTAGCTCTCAACCAGGGGATCCGATTCCCATTTAAACTATCTAGGACGAAGCGAGTGAAAACCAGAGCCCTGTGTGGGGGATGCTTGAGGCAGAGCGGGTACAGCAGCCTGCATCCTGATCCCTCGGCTACCTGGCCTCCCTCACAGAGATAATGGCAAGGCTTGGGAAAGATGGGTCCAGCAGCCCACTGAGGGGTTCCCTTCATTTCTGAGCCTACCCTCCAGCTGCCCATGACCATCTCTGCATCTGGGCTTGGAGGAAGAGGTGGCCCATTGGCTGGGTTTTGGTGGTGTGTGGACATCGTTGGGTCATTTTGGGGTGTGAACCCCAAAACTCTGTACAAGGTGTGCCAGAAGGTTCGGTAGTCCTGAGGAGGGTAAGGGCTGTGTGTGTGGTCTTGTGGCTCTTCCTAAGTCTCAATATGTGTCACATTAGCCCAGTCAGGGAAATGATCCAAGTCAAATATGGCCCGTCCCCAGGTGTTGACAGCCAAAAACACACAGAAGACTCCAATTATGTTCATTATGACTCCTGTTTTCACCTGGAAAAGAGACAGAGTCAGCACCCTGAGGCCTGCTGGGGACTAGTGCTCTCAGAGAGGAGGACAAAGGGTCGGCTCACTGGGCCTCGATGTCCCTGTGCCATGCTCTGTCCCTGGCTGGGGTGTCCCGACCCCCAGGACAGTGCGACTTCATGTCCCCCAGGTATCCTCAGTGCTCAAGGCATCCCTGGGAAGTAGGCAGAGTGGATGGGTTCTCTATGCCCGTGCGCATTTGGAAAATGACCTCAGAGAAGTGACAGGAGGCAACAGCTTAGGCCATTCAGGGAAACGGTCACAGAGCCCAGTGTTCCGTGAGTCCAGGTTCATTGCTCACCCCAGTGCCTTAACTATCCTACAAGGACGTGCCAGCTTCCCTGTGGACCTCCTCAGGCTCTTTCTGATGCCTGCTCTGCAAGCTTCCCTCATGGTCACTAACCATCGCTTCACTACCCTGTTGTAGATATTTTACTGGGGATTGGAGTCAAGTTTGCAGTCCATGGTTTCTGGGACCCACCTTTTTTTTTGAAAATGCTCATGGAGTCCCTGAGATACCCAGCAGAGGCTCTGAGATAACGAACACCCGATTGGTCCCAGGTACATTTCTGGCCTCTTGGGCTCAAACACTTGCCTCTTTCCCAGCCCAGAGCTGCAAAGCTGCCCTTCTCCCAGCAAAGGTGACAGAGCTAATGAAGAGTTCTTCCTCTGACTACATTTGTTTCCAAGGCATCATCTACTCCCAGGCAGTGCTCTCTCTCTCCCTCTCCCTGCTTCTACCTCTTCAGGCACCCCTACAAATCTCTGTGACTGTCATTAGCATCCCCCTGCTGCCTAAGCCTGCCCTGCCTATCTTCATGGTTCTTGCTAATTTGTCAAGTTCATCCTTGGCCATATGAGTCCCTCAGCCCCACCTTCACCCCTTCCAAGGACTCCCCTGGTGCCTGCACAGGCTTCTCCAGGTGGGAGAGTCTATAACCCACCTCAGAGAAAGAACAGTGTGTGAGGCTTGAGATCATCTCAGAAAAAGAAGAAAAGCTGCATTATAAATGTCAACAATGGCTACAGGTCTGGATGTTCCGTGGCATTCCCAAGTCACATGACATCGTTTTGAAACTCTGTCATTCATAAATGGGGCATCCCTTATGACAACAGCGTTATAGTCCGACGGGAGTAAATAAAAACAGCTGTGTTACCATGTCAGCAACCTTGAGGTGCCCATAGGTGAACACGATGGCATTTGGAGGGGTGGCCACAGGCAACATGAAGGCAAAGGAGGCACTCAGGGTACAGGGCAGCATGATGTACAGCGGATTGAGGCCGATGGAGCGAGACTGCGGAAAAACAGCACTGCAACATCACCGTACAGAACACAGAAGCTCTTGGGGACGTGATTCTGAAAAGGATTCTCTGAATGTGCCGGGTACGTTTGAACCTCTGTGCCTCAGTCTTGGTTCCTCTCCCTTTTGCCACGTCTCTGGCAGATAATTCCACCTACGGAACACTGAAGGCTGAGGTCAGAGGCCACCTGCCCTAGAAGGCCTTACCCCCTCAATTCATTCGACATGTATTTCTTGGGCACCTACTATGTGCCAGAGACCATGCTGAGTACTTAGACTGTGCTCAACCTTACAGTGCCGCGTGCACATGTCTGTCTGTCTTGCCACAGACTGAGAGAGCCTAGAGGCCAGGGACCACATCTTCTCTCCCGCATATAAATCTGTGGATGTGTGTGTTTTTATACATGCGTGGGGTCATTTTGCACATGGAATTTGGTAGCCACCTTTTAAATTCTACACTTTAAAATTTAGCCACATCCAACAGCACCTATCAGAGAGTAGGCACTCATTAAATATTTGCTGAGTGTATGAATGAATGATGTAATTCCTAAAATCTATCAAATCAATCATGTATCATGCACATGAGGGCAGACACATGCAAACATGTTTGTTGCAACCATGTAACGGCAAAACACAGGAAGCCAACTCAATGGTCACTAATAGCAGGATGGTTAAATAAAATATGACACATACAAATAATGGAATAGTATGCAGCTGTAAAGAATTGGATTTTTTTTTCTTTTTGTGCTAATCAGGAAAGCTCTCCAAGATAACCAAGGCTTCATGGTTAGATTTTTTAAAAATTAAGATGAATGGCCGGGCGCAGTGGCTCACGCCTGTAATCCCAGCACTTTGGGAGGCCAAGGCAGGCGGATCACCTGAGGTCAGGAGTTTGAGACCAGCCTGACCAATGTGGTGAAACCCCGTCTCTACTAAAAATACAAAAAATTAGCCAGGCAAGGTGGCAGGCACCTGTAATCCCAGCTACTCGGGAGGCTGAGGCAGGAGAATCTCTTGAACCCGGGAGGTGGAGGTTGCAGTGAGCCAAGATCACACCATTGCACTCCAGCCTGGGTGACAAGAGTGAAACTCTGTCTCAAAAAAAGTGTGTGAGTGTGTAAAATATCCAGAAAAATATTTGAGAAATTAACAGAGGTCATCTCTAGGGAGGAGGCTAGAGGATTAAGGTCTGTATACATCTTTGCATTATTAGACATTTTTAGCCATATACCATCTGCAATTTTAAAAAACTATACTATGAGCATGTTCCCATTTTATTACTCTTTGAAACTGTGATTTTTAATGGCCTGATAATGTCATATTATATGAATATATGATAATTTATTTCAGCAAACCCCCTGTTACTATGGATATATTTGTATAATAATTCTGTCATACATCATCATCACATATGTTGGTAGGCATCTCTGATTATTTTCCTAAGATATATTCCCAGACATGAAATTGCTGAGTCAAGGGGTCTGAGCAGGTTTAATGTTACGGTTCCTGTTGGTAAACAGCCCTCTGAAAGGACTGCGCAAGTCCCACGCCCCCTGGGAACCACTGAGGGGTCCCACGCAGGGGCCCAGCTCTTCGCTGGCGCGTCTCCCCGACCATCCTCGTTTTCCTGGCTGTGGGTACCTCATGGTGTCTGCACCTCACACTCCTCTGCAGCCCAGCTCAATGACCATCACCTTTTCCTTTCTCATAGGTGGGCGTGAGACAGGAGTGTGATGGGCCTTAGAGGTAGCTGGGGGAGTTTTTACTTGAGGTTCCTGGTTCTAGAAAAGCCCGTTTTCAAAGAGCCCGTTAGGGCCTGCATTTGCCTGGTTGGAACCCTCGGTGCTCCCAGTTAGGGCTGGAGATGACAAAGCCACGGCCTGTGCTAGGAGAGAGGAGGCATCACCACCACGTGCCCAGTATCAAAAGGTGCTCCTTCTACTGGGCGTCTGTTTGGACAGTCTGCTTAGGAGAAGAGGAGACAGGCCACTTTGCTATTTTGAACACTTTCACCTCCTTGCTATTTTTAACACTTTCATCTTCACTTGGAGGAGAAAAAAACCACTTAGGTTTGCTTTTTATACATGCAGACGCCCAGGCAGCCGAATGGAAATTCACCACCTTCAATCCTGTGTTCAGGCCCTCTGTAAATCTGTCTCCCAATTCCAGAATAATGACAGCCTCTCCCATGCTCATTTTGCAGTCTACAGAGGCTTTTCATAGCCCTCATCTTACTTGGCCATCAGCACAGCTCTCGGAAGAAAGAACTGAAGGGCCATGTTCAGAGATCCCACATCTTGAACTCGGGTCTTCTGACTGCGAGACCAGGGATCTTTCCATACTACCCTGAAGCTGGTACGTCTTTGCAATGGATGACAGAAGGAAATGCAAAAAAAAAAAAAAAAAAAAAAAAAAAAAAAAAACCATAGCCACTGATTTTCCTATAAGCTCTGCTTTCTTCTCACTCCCAACTCAAAAACATGCTAGTCCATAGAACAGAATGCCTTAGCCTGGCACTCAGCAGCTTTTCCCACAACCGACAGCTACCTCTCTCCACTCCCCAGGATCCCTTATCCCTGTGCTCACCAAGCCAGGCTTCCAGGAGTCCTCAGTCATGTGCACCATTGCCTTTCCTTGTGCTGCTCCATCTTCCCAGAATTCTCTCTCCCTTCCTACCTACTCCCAAGTCCCCACTCCTCCAAGGCCTCTTCCTGGGGTTTCCAGCCAGTGGTGCTCCCAGTCTGCAGTCCTCCTGCACACCTGTGCTACATGCTCAGAGACCACGGCACTGGCCTGCTCCTCCTTAGCCCAAGTCCTGTCTCCCCAGCTTGAAAAATAATCCAATTAGATTTATAAAATAAATTTGAGCACTTGGTCCATGGTTGGTGCTTTGGTCAGCAGGAGGGGTACAAAGAGGAGTGGCAAAGCAGTGGAGGCCTCAGGGGCAGAGGCATCCAGGGTCCACAAATCCACGTCACAGTCAGACCTGGGTCTCCAAAGCCTGGTCTGAGTCTGGCCTGGACATTGCTGCCTCGTCAGGGACCCACAATATGGCCATGTGTTCCTGTGAAATGGAAGGGCTCCTCCCCACTGTCAGGTTACTTACCATGGAGGCAAAGATGGGCAGGAACAAGGTGGTGGTGGCCACGTTGCTTGTGCACTCAGTGAACACGGCAACGAGCAAGGACAAGATCAAGGTGATGGCTGCCGGGGGCACTGCGTGCAAGGGCTCCATCTGCTTCCCCATCCACACGGACAGCCCCGAGGCCTGGGAAGCACCAGGAGGGCAGTCATCTCAGCGCTCCCAGCTTGCAGTTCCTTCAGGGCCAGGGCAAGCTTGGCCCATCCTCCCCTCCCGACCCTCTCTCTCTACACCTCATAGGTGACCTCATCCATTCCCACCATTTTCATCCCCGTCCTCACTCTGCTGTCTCCTAAATCTGTATTTCCAGCCAGCTGGCCTACTATGTGGATTTACATACCCATATGCCTTCTGGAAATGTCCATCCAGATGTCCCAAGAGCACAACAGACTCAACATGCTCCACCCTGCATTCATCCTCCATAGCCCAGAATCTGCTTCTCTCTCTGGGCCTCCCAGTTTGGTGAATGGACTCACCATCCACCAGCCATCCAGCCCAGCAGGCTGGGAGTCATGCTGCCGGTCTCTGTTCCCCTCCTTCCTTATACCCAGTCAGTCACCAAGTCACCCAAATGTCTCA
This sequence comes from Homo sapiens, assembly GCF_000001405.40. Lineage (NCBI taxonomy): Eukaryota > Metazoa > Chordata > Mammalia > Primates > Hominidae > Homo > Homo sapiens. The sequence continues at coordinate 6,691,394 of NC_000017.11, forward strand.
CATCCATCTCCTCCTCTTCAGTGCTCCACAGTTTTGGAAGCTCAGGAGAATGATTTCAACCAGAAATTGAAGGTTTAGATTTAGGGCTTTGGGCTGAGAAGAGATTGTCCAGGGAGAGAATGAAGTGTAAAAAGAGGAGAGGCCAAGGACAGAGCCTGGGCAGACACTCCTGTTTCAGGGAGAACAGAGAAGTCAGCAACGAAGGCTGAGCAGGAATAGTCTGAGTCCGAAGTAAAGCTGGAGACTGTGCTGAGCTGGGGGCCAAAGGAGGAGAGAATGTCCACAGAGTCCAAAGTTCTGAGCCTGAGTGAGATGGAAGGCTGCAGAGTCTCAGCTAGTTCTCCTCCAAGCCCTGCCCAGCCCAGGCCCCCACTCCAGACATCAGAGTGATTTCCTCATGTGCAGATCTGACCAACTCACCCCCTGGCCTCAGTCCTTCAGTGGCTGTCTACTGCATTCACGATCAAGTCCACACCCCTCTATCTTGGGGCCCTCAGAGAAGTGGCTTCTGGTAGCCTTACCAGCCTCATCTTCTACTTCTCCTCAGCTAAATACCTCACATTTTTCCCTTGCTCGTGTGCTACTTCCTGAAATGCCCTTTCATATATGTGCCCCTCCCTAGTCTGTGAAGTCTGCCACGAACAGGGACCGTATCTCAATCTCCTCTGTAATCTCTGTGCCTGGCATAACACTAGGGACATAATAGGAATGTTGGATGGATGGATGGATAGATGGATGGATGGATGGATGGATGGATGGATGGATGGATGGATAGATGGGTGGATGGATGGATGGATAGATAGATGGGTGGATAGATAGATGGGTGGATGGATGGACAGATGGATGGATGGATGGATGGATGGATGGATGGATGGATGGATGGACGGATGGACGGACGGATGGATGGATGAAGACATGAATAGATGCATGGATGATGGATGGAGAGGTGACTAGATGGATGGATTTGTTCACCTCCGCAAAAACTTAGCACCCACTAGGCACCAGGCTGTGTCCTAGATATTGAAGAAACAGCAATAACTAGACCAAGTCTGTCTATTACACTCCTGGATACTTGGGTAGGTAGATGGTTGGTTGGAGGACAGCAGCAGCAAGCTAGCTCATCCCTCCCTCTGGCTCATTTCTTCCCCAGGAGGGAAAGAAGGAGGTAAAGAAAGTTATATTTTTGTGTGTTTTCCAACATGTTCCTCACCTCCTACGCTGCTACATACTTAGCTAAAGAAAAATTTTGAAGTAGCTACCATGTTAAGTAGCCAGTAGAAGGACCAAAAGTAGTAGCAAACAATATTGACAAGGATTGGAAAGAAAGATTTCCCTCAGACAAATCAAAGCAGAGATTATTGTGATCAAGCCCCAGAGGGTAACTGACAGTGTCCTCTGCCTCTCTTGGCTAACCACGGTCACTCATTCACTCATTCCTGCAATCGCTCAAAGGTTACTTTCTGTCTTCCAGGCCCTGTGTGTGGTGTAGAGTTCCTAGATGACAAGACAGAGTCCATGTCCTCAAGGAATGTGCGGTTATACGAAGGATGCAGGCACAGAAACACACAAGCCCAGGGATGGAAGGGTGGAGAAACGCCACCCTCTTGACGAAGAAGAGGGCTCTGGGCAGCCTGTGGCTGGAGAAGTTACCTCGGATCCTTTAGCCAGAGCAAATCCGCCCCCTAGTAGCAGCACGATGCCCCAGGGCACTTTCTCCTGGGTTACCTTCCAATCCAGCAGGGGAGGGGGATAAAATGGAGTTTTCCTTTCTGGGAAGAAAAAGAAACACACACACACACACACACACACACACACACACACACACACACACACACACCAGAGCAGCATTAGAAGACAAAAGAAATCTAATCAAGGGGGAATAAAGCTAATAAGGACAATGAGGTACCATCTCCTACTTATAAATTAGCTAAAGTTTACAATAATATATACATTGCTGGTGAGGATATGATCAAACTATTACACACACTGCCAATAGCATCGTAAATTGGTATGACCTTTTTGAAAAGCAATTTGGCCATACATTTTAAGGGCCATTAAGACTTTGTATTCTATCACCCCAGCAATATTACTCCTAGAAGTTTATCCTAAAGAAAAAATACCCTCAAAGGAAAAGCTATATGCAAGAAAACATTAATTTATGAAAATAAAAAATTCAAAACAGCCAAAATGTTCTATAACAGGAGAATGATTACAACCCCTCAACGCAATATAATGCCATTATTAGAGAAAATATATTTGAAGACTGTAGCAATAGTGGGAAATGTTTATAGTGTAATATCAATCAAAAGTGGTAGAAGAAACAACAAACAAATAGGATTCAAACTGTGTGTGTTGATTATAATGTAATATACAGGCATATTAGCAAAGACTGGGAGGAAGAGAGAAAACAAAAAATTGTGCTGAATGGAAATCAGTGTTATGGAAAATTTGAAACATTTTCTGTTCCTGTTGTAATATAAATAAAATTTCAAATGTTAAATTCAAATGTTAAAAAGCAAAAAAGATATTTTGCACTAAATAATACCACCGGTGGCTTGAAAGCCACTGTTTCCCAGGCTTTTGTAGCCAATCCTCTTGGATATGATGGGATTTTCTCCCTCTAGGGCCCAAGGCATCCCATAGTGACCCTTTGGTTCCAGGGCTCCAGTCCTGATGACTGGGCGATCAGAACAGGAGACTTACCTTCCTCAGTCTGGCTGCGGAAGTTAAACTTGGGCTTCTGTGAAGGCACAATGAATAGCAGGGTGGCCACAAAGATGGCCACAGTGGCATCGGAGACATACCTAGGTGGGGAAAAGCACAGCTCATCTGCGACAGAGACAGTCACTCAACAAACCCATCACAACTCCGGCAGTTCTGTGTCCAAATGCTTCTATGCAAAGAAACAGGCTCACAGCCTTAAAAGTCAAGGTCAAGAGTGGTGGCCAGGTGCAGTGGCTCACACTTGTAATCCCAGCACTTTGGGAGGCTGAGGCGGGCGGATCACGAGGTCAGGAGTTCAAGACCAGCCTGGCCAACATAGTGAAACCCCGTCTCTACTAAAAATACAAAAAATTAGCCAGACATGCTGGCGGGCGCCTGTAATCCCAGCTACTCGGCAGGCTGAGGCAGGAGAATTGCTGGGAGGTGGAGGTTGCAGTGAGTTGAGATCATGCCATTGCACTCCAGCCTGGGTGACAGTGTGAGACTCTGTCTCAAAAAAATAAAAAAATAAGAGTGGTATGGGAGACTGAATCCTGGCTAGAAATCAAGATGCCCACACTCTTGACCACCAACTTTGGGTGATCCTAAGCAGTTTACTTCCCCCTCTCAGCGTGCATTCTCCATAAGTGTATTTCAGGACCTCTTCTTGACCAGGTTCTCTAGAATTCTGTCTGGGTTCACCAGGGTGACCATGAAGACTTTGGTGCTGACCTAAGCCGACCTTCAAAACGAAATGGCCATCATACCAGCATCTCCCTGCCCACATCTTCTGCCTTTTCTAGGATGTACATGTTTCTCATCCTTTCTTCCATTCTGACAACGTCTTAGCCAGGAGAGAAACTACATGTACCCCCTTTGCCAAGTCTCTGTCTATGAAGCTCCCTAGATGTGTGCCTTTGGAGGGATTTGACCAGATGTGAAGATGAGAAAGGGAAGATGGCAGAGCAGAGATTTGGAAACTAGAGCTCTGGGAACCCTACTCCTAGCCCAAGAAATCTCTCTCATCACAGCTCTGGCCACCCTGCCTGGCCAAGGATTTTCTGCTCAGCCTACTCAGGGAGGAGAGGATACCACAGGAACACATTAGGGTCTTATTGTGGAGCTTGGTCAGAAAACAAAAATGAGTCATGAAACCAACAGAGTGCTCTCTGAAACCCAGCTCCCAAAAGAGGAAAAGTCTTGACCAAGCATGAGTGCCTGGCCCACATTCCTCTTGCCACCTGTAGCCGAGACCAGCAGCATTTAGGCACTAGTGCACTAAGCCAGTGGTGTCTTTCTTTCTCTTTTTTTGAGACGGAGTCTCTCTCTGTTGCCCAGGCTGGAGTGCAGTGGCACGATCTGGGCTCACTGCAACCTCTGCCTCCTGGGTTCAAGTGATTCTCCTGCCTCAGTCTCCCAAGTAGCTGGGACTACAGGCATGTGCCACCATGCCTCGCTAATTTTCTGTATTTTTAGTAGAGACAGGGTTTCACCATGTTGGCCAGGATGGTCTCGATCTCCTGACCTCAAGTGACCCACCCACCTCAGCCTCCCAAAGTGCTGGGATTACATGTGTGAGCCAACGCGCCTGGCCCTAAGCCAGCGATTTCTATTGAATCCAAGACTTACTTTGTCTCACCCTCCACCCAGGCAACAGTCAGCCAGCCGGGCATGAAGCCGGGGTCTCGGGAGAACCACAGGATGACCAGCAGGAAGAAGCAGATCAGCACGTTGATCTCCGCGAAGGACAAGGGCCCCAGCTTCCGGTACTCCTCCTGCAGCACCTTGAGGGCAGCCTTCTCGTTTTTCTTGCTCTCTAGCCCGCAGCCCCAGGACTTTTTAAAACTGGAGAATGCAAAGATGAGAGAAGGGCAGGGCAGACTGGTTGGCTCAGGTGCTGGTCAGATGGAGCCTAAATGTTCTACAGCAGAATGTAGCAAAAAGACACATAATGCTGTCCTCGCCTGCTATGGGGCCTGGAGAAAGGCCCTTCCTGCCTCTTTCCCTCTCCTGTTCTTCCATCCCAGAATGTACTAGGGAAAAGTCTCTGTAGAGAGGCTAGAGGGTCTCGGCAGGTGCCCAGACACCTGGAGACTGGCTGCTCCAGGGTCACCTGGGGGAAGGCCATAAGGAGCTTCGGAGCCTGCGCAAGGTGGGAACAGGGCTCCCTCACATGCTTCCCAAGTCTTCCTCCTTCCACCTCAGCCTGGAGCTGCCTTCGATGGTGTTGGGATGCCAACCCCCATCACCAAGGTGGCTCAGGGAGATGCAGGGAGTGAGTATGAACCCTGGCAGACAGGGCTAGTCAGGGGCAGAATGGGTCCTTGTGTTCCCTGGAGTTGGAGGTGCAGGATTAGGGATCCAGGAGACCCTGGGGTTAGCAGCAAGCATGGCTAGGGCAAGAAGGAAGACAGCCCAGGATGGCACCCCCATCCTGGATGGGCCCCCTTGGGACCAGTGTCCATTGTCCAGGGTGTCCTGCAGGGCCTCCCCTAAGGTGGCGTTGGCATGAGGAGGCAGGGAGGAGAGGAGGTTCTTGGAGGAGGTGTAAAGGGGAGCTCAGCTGTGGAGGGGGGATAACTGGGGCCACTGTGCATAGGACTAAGGCCTCAAGGTATGCTGAATATTCCATTCACACATTCCAGTTCCAGCCACTGTTGGTTTGAAGGGGTGGGCAAGGCCAAGAGTATTGTCCTGGAGAGCCCTCCCTCGTGAGAGCCCTTCCGGGGGCCATGAGACATAATCATAGGAGGGAAGGGGTTGATGGAATAGGAGCTCATTCCTGAAGCCAGTGCTGGATGTGAACAGCCTTGGAGAGTGTGAGGGCCAAGTGTTGGTGTGATGGTGGCTTGGCCTGGAACATGGGGACACCAGGACATCAGGTCACAGCTTTCTGGGGTGCTCAGGGGTCAGAAAAGGAGGCAACACTGATGGGACCTCAGGTCTACACGGCTGGCTAGGATCTCCCTGCTGGGCAAGGCCGTGTGTCCTGAGGGTCACCCGCTAGGGACACTCTCTAGACATCCGGCACAGGGATGGCTCTGCTGGTGTAAGACAGGGCCTCTCTGCTGCCACACCCTTGGCTTAGTAAAGTTTGTGCTCTACCAAGCACCTCTCTGCTGCCAACTGTCGTCCTAGAGACCCTGGGGCTCAGCCAGGGGCTTCAGGTTTCCAGCATAAGGGGTGACCTTGGTATTACTAGTGGCCCAGGAGCCAGAGCCTGCATTTGGTGCTGGCAGCTCATCCCCAACACCACAGTAGCTGCAGACTCTGGGGCTGCATGGAGTATGCAGTCTTCCAATGCCAGTGCCCCACAGTGGTACCGCCAAGCCTTCAGAGTCTCTCGTGCTGAGCAGCTTTGCTCTCATCTCTGGGTTAATTTCATCTGGTGATGACCAGGCTGGCATGAGATGCAAGTAAATGGATCCAGTTGGCCTGTGAGGGGCCTAGGTCAGGGTCAGGGGTGGGGACCACAGAGTCCTCCTGCAGCAGAACAGCCTTCACCATGATGCACCATGGTGAACTTGGACTGAATATGTTGCAGAGCCAACAAGAGGGGAGAGATTCTTGAGCTTTGCATGCCTCTGCCCTGGCAGGGGTCCCAAAGAACCCTCATGGCTATTACAGGAGGTAAGCCTGGTTGGGACAGTTAGGTATAACCAGTAATAATATCCCATGTAGTTCTTGGTGGTCCTGGGGTGGGGTCTGGCCCCTTTGGCTAGATATAGCCTAGGAGGCTGCACTAGGCTCTTCAGCAAGATAGTTGTTCTGGATTAGGCTAGAGGCCAAGAACTTAACCTCGTTCTCCAGGATCGTTCAGATGAGGAACTCTAGTGAGAGCAACAGCTGACAGTGGAGCTGCCTCCTGCCGCTGAGACAGGTGCTCCCTGGCCTCAGGTGGGGAGGTCCATGAGGCCACAAAGGCAGGCAGGGACCACCAGGTCTTAGTTTGTGGCAGGACGTGGCCTGGGCCAGAGCACTGTTCCCACCACTCAAACCGAATGTAAAAGCTGTCCTCTACCTTCCAGATCTGGAGCCAAAACAAAGCTGCCGTGAGCTACCCCGGCCAGCCACACTGCATGCGTCCAAACTAGAGTGGCCCGTCGGGAAGGGGAAGGGGTGGGACTGGACTGCAGCCACGCACCCCACCACGAGCATGCTCAGAAGCCCCCTGCTGCAGACACTCTCAGGCTCCCCCGCCAGTCAACAAAAGCTGATGAAGGCCGTGCCAGGCTGGGTGGACTCAGCTTCAGGTTCTGGCTGTGAGTCTCCAGGGGCCTGACATCTGCCTCTGGCCAGACAAGAAGCTGATGGTGCCCTTGCGGCCTCGGCGCCATGCTATCTCCCTCCTCTTTCTCAGTAGGCCTTGGGGTTCTAGGGCAGCCCCGGCCCCAACTAGTGTTTCTGACACCTGGTCATGCTTAGGTCTGGAGGCAACTAAGGACAGCAACCCTCAGCCTCCCCAAGAGGGGATGCCATGCAGTGGGAGCCAAAGGGCCTGGGTTCAAGTCTCAGTCCCCCTACTTCCCTGTTACAAAGCTCTGTGTTGACCACATCACCTCTCCATGCCTCAGTTGCCTTGTCTGTAAATTGGGAATAATAATAATAGTGCTGACCTCGCAGGTTGTTGTGAAAATTAATTAAGTTTAAGAGTGCTTGGGCCAGGCGAGGTGGCTCACATCTGTAACGCCAGCACTTTGGGAGGCCAAGGAGGGCGGATCACCGGAGGTTAGGAGTTCAAGACCAGCCTGGCCAACATGGCAAAACCCCATCTCTACTAAAAAATACAAAAATTAGCCAGGCATGGTGGTGGTGGGTGCCTGTAATTCCAGCTACTTGGGAGGCTGAGGCAGGGGGAATTGCTTGAACCCAGGTGGTGGAGGTTGCAGCGAGCCGAGATCATACCACTGCACTCCAGCCTGGGTGACAGAGCAAGACACTGTCTCAAAAATAAATAAATAAATAAATAAATAAATAAATAAATAAATAAATAAAATAAAATAAAATAAAATAAAGAAAGGAAAAGAGCGCTCGAAATCATGTCTGGCACATGATGAGCACTCAATAAATGTTGGTCATTATTATTCCTGTTGCCCCATGAGGAGACACAGATGCTCACCTGCAGCAGGTTCAGGACCATCTCCTGAGAGACCTGTTCGACGGATGTGAACAAATGAACAGGACTTTGGCCCTGGTGCAGATTCAAGAGGCAGGGCAAAGAGAGCTACTGTCAAAGCCAGGCTGGGTGGCCAGGCAGCCATGCAAACAGTTTCCCCTGCCCCGTCCATGGGCAGGACAGAGTGGGGTTTGGGCAATGATCATTAATATTGTCATTCTTACTATCATTATTATGATTGTTTTGAATATGTATAGCAACTTTTTTTTTTGTTTTGAGACAGAGTCTTGCTCTGTCGCCCAGGCTGGAGTGCAGTGGCATGATCTTGGCTTACTGCAACCTCTACCTCCCGGCTTCAAGCAATTCTCCTGCCTCAGCCTCCCAAGTAGCTGGGGTTACAGGCATGTGCCACCATGCCCAGCTAACTTTTGTATTTTTAGTAGAGATGGGGTTTCACCATGTTGGCCAGGCTGGTCTCGAGCTCCTGACCTCAGGCGATCCGCCCTCCTTGGCCTCCCAAAGTGCTGGGATTTCAGGCGTGGGCTACCACGCCCGGCTAATTTTTGTATTTTTAGTAGAGACGGGGTTTCACCATGTTGGCCAGGCTGGTTACAAACTCCTGACCTCAGGCGATCTGCCCACCTCGGCCTCCAAAAATGTTGGGATTACAGGTGTGAGCCATCGCGCCCGGCCTGTATAGCAACTTTTTAATGGGAGTTTTCAAAACAGTTCCTCCTTCAGAAGAAAACTTAGGAAAATTCCCTATTTTCCCCACAAAATCACAGGTTTCCGTGGGCACTTTTGCCTCTGAGCTCTGCAGTCTCTTCCCTCTGGTCACAAATTCCCCTGGTTTGACTTGGCTCGAACTTCCTGTGGATGGAGGCACAGAGCACAGGCACTTAACTCAGAGCTGAGTACTTTCTATCCTGGTGTGGCCTGATCACCTTTGCACCACAGATAAATTTGTGTGTTTTAGAAAAACAATAACTTTTTTTTAGCTATTTGTCAGCCACAGGTCATGGTTTCTGTCCAAAGTCTGGCTGCCATCAAAGGTGACCCCTGATGAACTTGCCTGTGTGCTAGGAACAGGAAGGTAAACTTTCTAGGACCTGTACACTGCTGGGAACACCAGAGGTATTCAGTAAATGTCTGGGTTTGGATGGATTTGGTCATAATCACTGCTGGTTTTACTCGACTTAAACTCCCCGTGCATTGAGGCACAGAGCGTATGCGCTCAGCTCAGAGCTAAGTCACAGGTTTGCGGTGACCTGGCCTGATGGACCCACACGGCAAAGAGGAAGCTTGTCCAGCAATGTCGAACTGGCACGTGGGGACCAGCTTATCTTTAATTGCTTTAACCTGCCTGCTCTTCCTCCCTGTGCTGGGAGCTGTGCGGGGTGCCCAGCATCAGAGTGGTTCTGGAGGAATTCAAAGTCACCGGAAGCCAAATGCAGATACTAAAGGACAGGCCTGTGATATGCCCAGGGGCCGCTCAGAGATGGAATGGGGGTGGGGAAAAGTCAGGGAAGCAGCATTTGAACTAGCCTTGAAGGCTGAGGAGGTGGGAAGGTAGAGAATGGCATTCCAGGGAAAGGGGACCACGTGTGCACAAAGCTCAGTGAGCAGCCTGGGTTCGAAGGAACAGGAGGGCAGACTAGCAGGAGACAGGGCTGGAGAAAGATCAGGGCCAGACACGAAGGACTTTGTAAACCTGCCTATTGAGTCTGAGGGCTCTTCTGCAGCTTTGAGGCATAATTAGGCATAATTAGGCTGTGAGCAGCTCAAACTTACTTGAATCTCATGTAAACAAACTGGAGCCACAGCCAGGCGAACAGCAGCATCACCAGCATGTTGGGAAAGGCAAATGCAAACCAGGAAGCAAAGTTCACGAGGTCCTTGCTGTCAGGAAACAACCTACAAGAAGACACCGGCCCCCACCTCAGATGCTGAGCTGTGGGAGCCAGCCTGGCCCTGTGCGTGGGGACGGAGCAGCAGCTGGGCCCTGAGAGGCGCGCCTGTGTGGAGGCCACATCCTCCTGAGGTCTAGCCACCAAGTCCATTGCCAAGCATTGTCCCCTAATCGAGTGGGAGCCTCAGAACATGGCCACAGCACAAGACAAGGCCGAGAAATGACCCACTGACTCTTCTGTGTGTCCAGGCCTTGCTAAGAGTCTCATGGAAGTTATGGCCCATCCCTCCAGAAAAATACAACTTTGTGGCCGGGCGCAGGGGCTCACGCCTGTAATTCCAGGACTCTGGGAGGCCGAGGCAGGTGGGGCACAAGGTCAGGAGCTTAAGACTGGCCTGGCCAACATGGTGAAACCCCGTCTCCACTAAAAATACAAAAATTAACCAGGCATGGTGGCGGGCGCCTGTAATCCCAGCTAATAGGGAGGCTGAAGCGGGAGAATCGCTTGAACCCAGGAGGCAGAGGTTGCAGTGAGCCAACATCGCGCCACTGCACTCCAGCCTGGGCGACAGAGCGAGACTTGTCTCAAAAAGAAAAAAAAGAAAAATACACCTTTTATACACATGCATGTAATTTGGCTGACATCTTTGGGGATCTGCAGAGACCTCAGCAATCTCGCTCTGTGGGTTTCTGCAAAGAACGGTCCCCCCACTTAGCAAAGGAAATCTCAAAAGCTTCCCAGAGCGGAGGCTGGAGGAGGGTCACTTCCACCACAGGCCCCGCCTCCCATCCCCGGGGCTCTGCTAGCCCCAGGGGCGCCCCCTTTAGCTCAAGAGTGTCAAAGCAGGCGCAGAGCTTTCCCCACTCAGCCCAGACGGGCTGCTCTTCCCAAAGAAAGTTACTGGAGAACTGTAAGGATATCATTACAGAAAACACTCCCGAAATTAAAACAAACGGGTTGTTGAACCTCACGTTTCTGCCCAGCCAGGCTCCAGACCTGTCCTTTCCACCTCCCAGCTCCTGCGCCCACTGCCCTCCCCACCCCTGTCCAGGCTCCTGTCTGCAAAGGATGGCATCACCTTATTTTTGTGCCTGCCCACTGCAATTAGTACATACCTCAATTAGTACATTTATGTACCAGACATGCCTGGAAGCCCCAGGCATCTTGCCACCCTCAACAGACCATGACTACCCCGCGGCAGGGCCCAGGTTTCTCTCCCTCTTGGGGTCCTCATGGCCTGCATCCCTTTGTGGCCAAGGCTAGAAAGTTCCAAACCATCCCATGGTTCACCTGATACCTCACAAGGGGACTATAACGAAGCAGTGAAGCAGTGAATGACCCAACCCCAGCCCTTCATACCATCTGTAGACCTCGGATGCCATGGGGCCATCACCATTAGCCACCAAAAGCAGTGAGCAAAGGGAGTGCTGGGGAGTCTTTTAGAGGTGTCTATTTTCTACAAGTTTCAACCAAGGACCCAGCGTCTGGAAGTACATTGTCATCTGCCATGACTTTAGCTCAGAGTTCAATCCACACTCCCTCTCTGAGCCAGAGTCCCTGACCCCAGGGGAGGTGGTGGGTCTTGCATCATAGCAGAAAGCAGACTGGGACGTTAGCTCCCCTGACATCAGCTCCCTATCCTCTCTAAGGCTTCTGTGTGGGCACAGGGGTGCCAGGACACAGAGGCTAGATGGGGCCACATCTTTCCACCCCTGCCAGGCTCCCAGGCCAGGTCTGGCTGCCCCGAGGCTTTCCAGGACTCTGCAGAGGAGCAGAGAGAGGTGGGCAGGTCCCTCCAGCCCCGGTACCCACTTCGTTGTCCCCAGAAGGTGCGACCAAGGACTCACTCGTTCATCTGGCCCAGGAGCACCACGTTGGGTCCCGTCCCGGTCAGGGTGGCGGTGCCCCCGATGCTGGCCGCGTAGCAGATGCACAGGGTCATGGCCTTACACAACCTCTTCCGCTCTTGGTCTTCCTGCTGCCCCAGAGTGGGGCCTTCAAAAATCACTTGACTCCCTGTGGTGGGCACAGCGCTGTTAGCTGAGCCAGTCATGGGGGCTGCCCACCCAGCCCCAGGTCCTGACTCTGCTGCTGACCTGAGGATTGGGAA